>NC_000001.11:233456848-233608364 GCF_000001405.40 Homo sapiens | reverse complement strand
GCCCTGAATCTCTAACTCCCCAGTGGTGCCACGTCCAGTTGTCAGGGAATACAGACGGAGCAGGCGCTCAGCTTCTCTGTTACCTTTGGCTGAGGGTGTTGCCAACTCCTCTTATTGTGGTAAGGTGGCTATGCTCTGAGGTGTGCAGATCAGGGCTCAGCCTCCAGACAGGGCCTGCCAGGAGGCAGCAGTGACAGATGATGCCCCTTCATATCCTCTTCCTGCCCACACAGGCCCATGGTGGCCTGACCACCGGTGGCCTGAGTGATGCTTATCATTTTCCTGCCTTCATCACTGTCTCTTACCCATGCCCTCCAATCACACTTTGCCTGTGAGTGTTAAATCATAATTGGTCCCTGCTCATGTCTCATTCAACACATACTCCATGGGTATGAGAGGTAAGGAGAGGAAGGAAAAGAAGAAAGGGCTGTCCTAGAAGCAAGTGAAGAAAGATGGATGAGAAACAGATCAAATGACAGGGGGAGGAGCTGAGGGTATTCCAATGCCATCCACTGCTCTGTCCTGTCATGCATATTTGGAAGGTGTCCCCAGCCCAGCCATGCACTCTCCCACCCTCCCTGTCCTCAGAGTACTCCCGTGCTGAAGTGAGATGGTCATCTCAATATTCACTCAGCTGCCTCATTGCTTTCTCCCAAACAGGCCCTATGTGTCAGCGCTTGGAATGGGCTCGCCCACACTTGTTTGCTCCCACGATTTCAGACCATGACTATATCGGGGGCGGTGGCCTTGATGCTGAAAAAGAGAAAGAACACAAAAGATGGATGATCTTTTTTGCCTCCTGGAGCAGTCTAGCCCTGGCTGCCAGTTATTATCTGTGCACTGAGTCTTATGGGCACTGGGCTGACACCTGGATGAACAGCACCTGAGCTGTAAGCTCTTTGACAACACTGGGCAATACACTTCATAAACCACTGTATTTGCATGTGACACGTGTCAGCAGCACAAACACAGGGCACTGTGTGGCATCAGGAAGCTTGCCAGCAGAGGGTAGTTTGATGCTGAAGGTCAGCTTTTTATCTTTTCAGGAACCTGCATATTCAGAAAAAAATTTTTCAGATCTGGGGACACTGGGATTCACCACTTCCTCCTGCTGAATTCTAGTGCCTGAATGAGATCTGCAAACATTCACTCCATACAGTTTTGAGTTTGCTACATTAGCAACTCCCTTAGATCCTAGAACAGTTCTGTTCCTTCCCTCTTCAGTGCCACTTTCACTGGAACTTTCCGTTACTTCAAGATCCCATTCGAATTGGCCCTTCAGGTAACCTCCTTTAACTACGTAAACATGCAAAAACCCATCTCTCCTCCATCTGAATTCATGCTACACATGCTCTCTGTTTGAGTCACTGGGTCCCTAACATGCACCTCCTAGTGTTGTTATTCACTAGGTCCCTAACATGCACCTCCTAGTGTTATTATTATTATTATTATTATTATTTGAGATGGAGTCTCACTCTGTAGCCCAGGCTGGAGTGCAGTGGCATGATCTCGGCTCACTGCAACCTCCGTCTCCTGGGTTCAAGTGATTCTTCTGCCTCAACCTCCCGAGTAGCTGGGACTACAGGCACTGTAGTCCCACCACACCCGGCTAATTTTGGTATATTTAGGAGAGATGGGGTTTCACCATATTGGCCAGGCTGGTCTCGAACTCCTGACCTCATGATCTGCCCCCCCGCCCCCACCTCAGCCTCAGCCACCGCACCCAGCCTGTTATTTTTATGAGCAAATGTATTGTCTCTCCACTGGATTGTACACTCTTAGGAGGAAACACATTAAAGATGTGTCTAAAGACTATTGAAGCAAAATTGTGTAGAATCTCAAATACGTAAAATATTTGTATTTTGTTACAAAATTAAACGATATCCGCATTATTAATCAACTGCATAGGAATAAAACTAGCTCCTAGCTGTTGTCTTTGGGTAACAGTAGAGTATATAGATGACTCTCCTTTCCTGTACCTTTTAATATTTTTCAAATTTTCTATGGTGGATATATATTGTTTTTATAATCAGGAAAAACATTAAAAATAAACAAAGCTGAATTGTACAATTAATTACTGCATCTCTTAGTTCTTTTTATTTTCTATAATATTCTTTCCTGTGATATGTATACAGTAAATATTTTTCATTTTTAAATTAATAAATATTCACAATAATTACACTTCCCTCAGGCAGCAGTGTATTGTTCAGTGGGAAGTATTTGTAGAACCATGGTTAACCACCCAGTGCTTATACCTAAATATTTGTTATTGTATTTAATGTGAGGAAATTTGCTTTTAGCACAGGACATGCCCAAGGAGTTCTAGACAGGGAATGATTTATTTGCGGAGTGATTCTGCTCTATTGGATTTTAGGATTCTCCATATACGATTGACCTTTGAACAACATGAGTTTGAGCTGTGCAGGTCCACTTACACATAGATATTTTTCAATAAGTATATTGGAAAAATTTTCAGAGAACTGCAGCAATTTGAAAAATCTCACAGATGAGTTGCGTAGTCTAGAAATATTTTTCAATTAAGAAAAATTTAGGTATGTTATTAATGCATAACACACATGTAGATACTAGTCTATTTTATCACTTACTACCTTAAAATATATACAAACTATTATATTAAGAGTTAAAAATTATGAAAAGTTGCACACACAAATACTTAGACCATATATGGCATCATTTGCAATTGAAAGAAATGTAAACAAATGTAAAAATGCAGTACTGAATCGTAATTTCATACAATTCACTGTAGTACTCACTACAGTGAATTTTATGCAATTAAAAATTTTGTAGTTTAAATCTTAAATTTATGCAGTTAAAAATTGTATAGCCACCTCCTGTTGCTATTGCAGTGAGCTCAAGGGTTGGGAGTATCAAACACTGAAAATGCCATACGATGCTAATCATCTCTGCGTGAGCAGTTCATCTCTCCAGTAAATGGCATATTGCAGTAAAAAGTGATCTCACAGTCTCACATATTTTTCATCATGTGTAGTGCAATATAATAAACCTTGATTAGCACCATGGGGCCCATAAAAAGTGCCACTAGTGATGCTTGGAGTGCTCACAAGAAGCAGAGAAAACTCATGATATTACCAGAAAAAGCTGAATTGCTTAATATGTACCATAGATTGAGATCTGCAGCTGTGTTTGCCCACCATTTCAAGATAAAAGAATCAAGCATTGAGAACCATTGTAAAAAAAAAGAAAAAGAAATTTGTAAAGCCATTTCTGCAGTTAAACTGCCATGTGTGAAAATCTTGCATTTTATGCAAACTATGTTTTTATCTTATATTGAAAATGCAGCAGCTGGGTGCAGTGGCTGACACTTGTAATCCCGGCACTTTGGGAGGCCAAGGCAGGTGGATCCCTTGAGTCCAGGAGTTCAAGACCAGCCTAGGCAACATGGTGAAACTCAGTCTTTCTACAGAAAAACCCACAAAAATTAGCCAAGCATGGTGCCAAGCCTGTAGTCCCAGCTACTCCAGAGGCTGAGGTGAAAGAATCGCTTGAGCCTGGGAGGCAGAGGTTGCAGTGAGCTGAGATCATGCCACTGCACTCCAGCCTGGGTGACAGAGTGAGACCCTGTTTCAAAAAAGAAAGAAAGAGAGAAAGGAAGGAAGGAAGGAAGATGCAGCTTTTTTGTGGGTGCAGGATTGTTATAAGAAAGGCATACCTGTAGAGGCTAATATGACTTAATAAAAAGTAAAGTTATTATATGACAACTTAAATAAAAAGGAAGGTGAAGGATCTAAAGCTGGAGAATTTAATGCCAGCAAAGGATGGTTTGATAGTTTTAGAAAGAGTTTCGGTTTAAAAAAGGTCAGGATAATAGGAGAAGCAGCTTCTACCAGCCAAGAGACAGCAGACAAGTTCCCAGACACCAGTAAGGAAATCATGGAGGAGAAAGGATATCTGCCTAAACAGGATCTTCATGCAAATAAAAGTGCCTTATTCTGGGGAAAAATAATGCCGCAAAGGATGAATATTTATTAGTACAGAAGAGAAGCAGGCACTAGGATTTAAGTCAGGAAGGGATAGGATAACTCTACTGTTTTGTGCAAATACAATTGTGTTTATGATCAGGACTGCCTTTATCTATAAAGGCACTAGCCCCTGAGCCTTGAAGGGAAAAGATAAACACCAGTCACCGGTCTTTTGGTTATATAACAAGAAGTCCTGAAAAGTGGGAATGCTTTTTCTGGATTGGTTTTATCAGTTCTGTCCCTGAACTCAGGAAGTACCTTGCCAGTAAAGGACTGCATTTTAAAGTTCTTTTGATATTGGACAATGTTCCTGGGCACCCAGAATCCCCTGAATTCAACATGGCAGCCATTGAAATGGTCTAATTGCCCCCAAACACAATGTCTCTAATTCAGTCCCTAGATTAGGGGATCATAAGGACCTTTAAGGCTCATTATACACAGTACTCTATGGAAGGATTGTCAATGCTATGGAAGACAGCCCTGATAGACAGAACATCATTTATTCTGTCTGGAAGGATTACACCATCAGAGATGCCATTGTTATTACAGAAAAAGCCACAAAAGCCATCAAGTCTGAAATAATACATTTATGCTGGGGAAAACTGTCCAGATATTGAGCATGACTTCCCAGGATTTATGATAGAGCCAATCAAAAAAATCATAAAAGAGACTGTGGAGATGGCAAAAAGGTGGGGGGCAGGGGTGAAGGGTTTCCAGATGTGGGTCTTGGAGGAATTCAAGAGCTAAAAGACACCACACCGGAGGAATTAACAGACGATGACTTGATGCAGATGAATGCTTCCAAACCAGTGCCAGATGATGAGAAAGAAGGCATAGAAAAAACAGTGCAGTGCCAGAAAACAAATTGACATTAGATAATCTGGCAGGCGCATTCTGATTATTCAAGACCATTTTTGGCTTCTTGTATGACATGAACCATCTATGATATGGGCACTGAAACTAAAGCAAATGGCAGAAGAAGGATTGATACCATATAGACTTTTTTTTTTTTAGGCGGAGTCTCGCTCTGTCACCCAGGCTGAAGTGCAGTGGCACAATCTCGGCTCACTGCAACCTCACCCTCCCAGGTTCAAGCGATAGAATCACTTTTTGAGAAATAAAAAAGCAAAAGACAGAGAGAAATTATGAGACGTTTCCATAAAGTTACACCAAGTGTTCCTACCTCTCCTGCCTCCCCTTCCACCTTCATGTCTTCCACCTCTGCCACCCGTAAGACAGCAAGACCAACTCTTCCTTTTCCTCCTCAGCCTACTAAACATGAAAATGATCCACTCCCACTTAATGAATAGTAAATATATGTTCTCTGCCTTATGATTTTCTTAATAACATTTTTTCTGTATCTTATTTTGTTGTAAAAATACTGTATATAATACATGTAACACACCAAATATGTGTTAATTGACTTTGTGTTATTGGTAAGGCTTCTGGTCAACAGCAGGATATTAATAGTTAAGTTTTGGGGGAGTCAAAAGTTATACGTAGATTTTTGACTACATAAAGGGTCAGTACCCCAACTCTTATGGTGTTCAAGGGTCAGCTGTATAAAAAAGATCTTTTGCGTTCTATTTAACCCAGTGGAAGGCAAAATTCCTCCATTAGACATTTAATTATCAATGTCTGCTGTGTCCTTAACAAATAATACAGGTTGAAGAATATAAACAGACAATTGATAATGGCAAAACTTTGTAGACAATTAACAGGCTGATATGAAAACTGAGAACTTGGCATTCTAAGCCAGATCATTTAGGCTCAACTACCGCTTGCAGCCACCTACTCTTAGTGCAGCCTTTGAAGAATGAAACAACCTTTCTAAGCCTTAGTTTCTCTTTCTGTAAAAACGCCAATAATAACCATACCAACCATTTAGGATTGGGAAGATAAACGAGGTATGCTTGTAAAGTACTTAGCACAATGTTGGACACAGAATAAGTGCTCTATAAATTTTTTCCCTTGTAAAGTTACAAAACAGGAAGGGCTGCCTTGTTTTGCCAGTGTGGAATCTCAGCACTGTATGTGGTGCCTGTCACAGAGTAGGCAAGAAATAAATATTTGTGCAATGAATACATGGAGGGATCAGGAGGAGGCCAAGAGTAGGAAGAGGGAATTGGGGTGGGGGGACTCTTTAGTGTGAATTCAGTGGGAGCCGCCGGGCGTGGTGGCTCATGCCTGTAATCCCAGCACTTTGGGAGGCTGAGGCGGGCGGATCACTTGAGTTCAGGAGTTCGAGAGCAGCCTGGCCAACATGGGAAAACCCTGTCTCTACTAAAAACACAAAAATTAGCTGGGCGTGGTGGCAGGGTAGTCCCAGTTACTCGGGCTCAGAAGGCTGAGGCAGAAGAATCGCTTGAACCCAAGAGGCAGAGGTTGCAGTAAGCCAAGATCATGCCATTGCACTCCAGCCTGGGTGACAGAGCGAGACTTCATCTGAAAAAAAAAAAAAAAAAAAAAAAATTAAAAAGAATTCAGTGGGAGCAAAGCTGGCTTTACTTTGTTTTCCCCTCTGCCTTTGCTGTCTTTCATCCTCTGGCCAAGCACTTCTTAGTGATGGCCTCTTTGTCTTCAAGAGCTCCATGTACATTCCCACTCTCCCTCCTGCTGAGGCATCTCTCTGCCTGAAATGACTGTCCTTCTCTTCTCTGGTAATCCCCAGTCCAAGTCTCCTGACTCCTCCAGGAAAGTTTCCCTATATGTCTTCCACTTCTGACCTCAACTCCTGCAGTGCTTAGGGCGGTCATTCATTTGGCATCATGACTCTTGCTTGTGAGGCACCTTTTTATCTCTCCATCTCTTCTCCTTGGCTGAAAATCTCTTACAAGATGCTCTCATAAAAAGAAGAGGAAAGAAATTTAGGCAATATAAACAAGCCAAGTCTACTACAGAGAACAAGTGGGAAGTGGAACCTGGAATTTGCCCAGTAGCTTCCATTTTATCTATGAAACAGGAGGGGAGATAATTGCTAAGAGTGATTAAAAAGAGGTTGAGTAGTGGGCTTGAGGAAAGATAAATGGGAGAGAAAACTGACAAGAAACAAAAGAGAATGTTGAGATGTGTTGAGAACACCACTGAGTCAGAGACTGCACATGTGCGGTGGTAATCACCTCTTCTGTTTTGCCATTTTCTTGGTTTTTTTTTTTTTTTTTTTTTTTGACACGAAGTATCACTCTGTTGCCCAGGCTGGAGTGCAGTGGCATGATCTCCGCTCACTGCAACCTCCACCTCCCAGGTTCAAGCAATTCTCCTGCCTCAGCTTCCCAAGTAGCTGGGACTACAGGCACCCACCACCACGCCTGGCTAATTTTTGTATTTTTTTTTAGTAGATACGAGGTTTCACCATATTGGCCAGGCTGGTCTCAAACTCATGACCTCGTGATCTGCCTGCCTCAGCCTCCCAAAGTGCTGGGATTACAGGCGTGAGCCACCGTGCTCAGCCCAGTTTTGCCATTTTCTGCAGCAGATGTCAGTTCTTTGAGTGACATGAAGATAGAGATTTGCTAGGTGAGGGGAAGAGTAAAGGAACTAGTGAATTGAAAGGCCTCTTTAAAAGGAGATTAGTTAAAATAATGGACCACAGTGTCTACACTGCATAGAGAAGGAAATAAAGGCAGTGAAGAGCTAATAAATCAGAAGGAAATGGAAGAATTACACAGCTGCTGGATTCCATGTGGTGGGAGACTGGTTATAGTTGGCAGATGGGAATGAAAGATGAAAAGAGAGGAAGCTGTAGTCGTAGGGGAGAAGACTTAGTTCAGAAGAGAGGGGTGAGTCCTGGGTTATGGCCATCTCTAGCAGTTAGCTATTGCCAAAGTGGAGGGAAGAAAGTCACTAGAGGGGCTGCAAGTCTAGTGTTCTGTTTATCCACGTTGAAGATGCATGACGAAGCCTGGACCGGGAGAGAGGAAGCCAACATGGCAAGAGCAGAAATCTTCAGGGTCTCAAGAATGAGTGGGAGGTTAGTGGATGATAGAGACAGTGGCTGAAAGAAGAAATACTGCGGTCAGAAGTGCCTGGCCAATTGAGGGTCCTTTTACTGAAGAAAGGAAGGGCAATTGTTTGAAAATTGATTCAGGGACTTTAGAAGGATGCGAATCCCATCTGCAGCCCTGAGGGGTAGTCAAATTAGCATCCTCCTCCAAGGGATGCCAGGACTATTCCAGGACAACCGAGCTTCAGGAAGGCAAAGAGGTAGAAGGTATTCTGTGTAGGCGTAGGTGCAGAAGTAGGTGAAATGGATTTGACTAAAGGGTCCCAGAGGGTACATGGAAAACTTTTCATAGGAGAGGAGCCATGGGAACTCTAGTTACAGGAAGCCCAGAAGAAACTGCAGGTGGGAGCAGAGGAGAGGAAGGATACATGGAGAGTTTACATTTTGCAAGGTGAGCAAGACAGAGAAATGCTGCCGCACAGAATGAACTGGTCTCGAGGTTTCAAAGTCAACTGTGGTAGCTTGAATGAAGTGCAGCTGAGGCTCAAGGTTGAGTGGCCCTGGCCACGGTCCACCTGGCTAGCAGGCAGTGTCTTCTGCTAACCCATCCGGTGTCCTCTACCCCCTCACCTAGTCTTCCCCCAGGCCCCACTGGATGCAAGAACAGGGTCATTTTCAACTTCAGGAATAATGTCACCGTAAACCAAACACCAACCTTGGCTGGTCTTTGTTACTATTCCCTTAATGCAGGCTGCACACTAGAAATTTTCATTCTAGATGTCCCAGTCACTTAATTTCAGAGCACTTATTTTTCTTTTAAATACTTTCACTTTTCTCTTTGCCTTTTTTCTTAAATGACTTCACTTTTATTTCATGCTTTAAAGTTTGTAGATCATTTCCATGAAATAATTCATTAGACAAATTCATTATTGTAATTTCATTACAATAACTAAGCAGGCCAGGCAGCATTATTCAATTTCCACAGATGAGTAAACTCAGACTTTGGGAAATCGTTTTTCAAGGGCATCTTTAGTTCAATGCTCTTTGGTTGTCACGAAGGGCCTGTCCTTTGAACTGCAAAGTCACAGCACATACTGACAGAGTTACTCTGAAACATGCAAAACGATTATGATGCCGTTGTGTGATATATTTAAAAATGAAACCTAAGAGTTTAGTAATAATAGCTTCCTGTTACTATTACTTTGTCATCTCTCAAGGACTTTTAAATCACTGAGAAATATATTTGTTCTTTTCTGAAAACCACATGAATGCAGATGACAGCGACAGATAATCAATCACGAGAATGATAAAGTGTGGTGGCTGCGCTGGAAACAATGAGTACGTTTAAAATCTGTTTAAGGTGACAGTTGTCTCTGAAAAATAGGAGTTGATGGGCCTCAGCCAGTGCTTCTAAGATTTTTATCATTCTGAGAGAGTAACTGCCTTTTCAATCCAGATTTTAAAAAGTCAGAAACTTCCTGAATGAGCAACTCTTAGAATGAACTTGGCACTTAACATGTTTGGAGATCTGGGAAGAAGGAAGGTTTTCATGGTTGTTTTCAATCTTATCTAAACATACTTGGCCAGAATTATAAGAAGTAAAAATACCCAAAGTGTTCATCCCTTAAAGCAAAACAGATGTCAATTAGGGATGCAGCATATACATTGTGATCAACTTGTAATGACCCCAAATCTTTATTGGGCTTTTTAGTAAGTATTTTGTATTTTACAGTATTCACCTGACTCATGATATTGTTGTTTTTGTAGGTAGGATGATGGTCTACCTGCAATTACATGGTTCAAAGTAATGTTTATCTAAAATATAAGACAGTTAAAGCTCATTCTTTGATACTCACTCCTCTATGCTACCTGAAAAATATCTTCAGTTCTCCTTCTCAATTTTTTATTCTTTTTTCAAGATAGGTAATCTGTAAGGCTCATACAAACACACATCAAAGATCTGCACCTGGACTCTTTTTTTTTTTTGAGATGGAGTTTCTCTCTTGTCTCCCAGGCTGGAGTGCAATGGCATGATCTAGGCTCACTGCAACCTCAGCCTCCTAGGTTCAAGCAATTCTCCTGCCTAAGCCTCCTCAGGAGCTAGTATTACAGGTGCATCACCATGCCCGGCTAACTTTTGTATTTTTAGTAGAGACGGGGGTTTCACCATGTTGGCCAGGCTGGTCTCGAACTCCTGACCTCAGGTGATATGCCTGCCTCGGCCTTCCAAAGTGCTGGGATTACAGGTGTGAGCCAACGTGCCCAGCCTGCACCTGGACTCTTGATCCTTTGGCTGACATTCCTCTCCACATCTAGATCACACTCCACAGCTCATTTCCTAGAGGAAACCTGTCATCCAGAGAGAAGGGAGAAAACAATTAAGAGACCTAAAAACCTGCCCAAGAAATTCTTAAATCCAGCTATAATCAACTAACACATTATTGCTTTATATTTATTCATCAGCCATAGTCATTTAAGTGTTAAATAAACAATGCAAACTCTGTCCTCTCCTTTAGTTACTTTTTATAGAGTTAAGGGGAACAAGAATAAAATACTCTTCTCCTCCCACCACCACCACCCCAGCATCATATCATACCCAGCTTGAGGGATTTCTTTACATAATCTGAAATGCTATAAATATATACTGTGGTTAGCTGATTCACATAACAAAAAAAAATGATTAAACATGTGTTATGCATCAGGAGACTGATGAAATATCACCATGGAAACTTTGATGCTGAGTTTATACGTGTAAAATTTTCACTTGCAAGATTACAGTTGCAAGTATCTTTGCCCAGATAATTGGGCTTCTTCATCAGAAGCAGGGAATCACCTTCCCATTTTACTAACCACCTACCTTGAACATTAGTCTAAATTGTCAGTATGATTTGTCATTTTTTTCACAGCTGAAGTGACAATAACAATCGTCCTCACATCTGTATTTTTCTATAAAGTTAACAGAGATAATTCACATGAAAGCATGATTATTTGGCCAATATGCATCACCTCAATGCGTGTTATAGTGTTCCTAACAGTGGTTTTATATCTTTCTATCTGTATATATATATATCTCCATTCTTCACCCCAGAATAGTGTACATTCAAGATTTCCAGCAGATTTTGGCATTCCACTTTTGACAATCGATTGACGATTTTCTTTTAAAGAATTTAAATGATGATATGAGGAAAGGAAGACAGGAGACCTGAAGTCAAAATCTCATCAGCCCATGATCAACAAACTCATCTAGTACAGATATTTACATGGGTTGTGCTTTATAATCAACCAACTGACAGAGATTACAACATCTCTGTCATGAGAAGCTTACAAAGAATGCATTATAAGAGTAATATCATTTTCTCCAAATGTTTTAGAAACATTAACAATAAACAGAAATACAACCAATAGGATTTGTAGTTTTTCATATAAGATAATAGCATATTTATGTATGTACAAATATCCTGTATTAAGCGTTAATAAAGTCCTTTATATAACTTAGATATGTATATATATGCATACCTACCTACATCAGTGTCCTTTAATTACACTAATATTAAGCAGAATTCTTCTACTAAATATTTAATGCCAACCAACCACAATCTATTGCATTAAAGTGCATTTGTCCTAAACATGATTTTAATTCATTCTGCAATAATAGTCATATCACTATTATCTATAAACTCCTGTCTGAATTTGTCAAGTCCACAGAAATTTTTAAATAAATGTTATATAGGAACTGGATTTAGACAACCCATGGTTATTATGTGTAAACGTCCTGTTGTGGAAATCTGATAGAAATATAAACAGTGAAAAAGAAAGAAATGACAGCTAGGTCACTACCAAACTGAGTTGAAATTCAGCCAGGCAATTTACTAAATTCAGTCTGTTTTTTATTGTTGTCCTCTTGCTGTCCATTTCAAATTGATTAAATATTTCTTTGAATCCTATACAAATTTTCATTAAAGATACAGTCATAAATAAGAAGCTTACTAATATCTGCTCAGTTTCCAAGTTTTAGCCTGCATTCCACCCTCCCCACAAAAGTTCATTATAGAAAGCTTCTAAAACACAAGAGAAGCCAGGCATGTGGGTTGCACCTGTCACCCCAGCACTTTGGGAGGCTTAGGAGGGAGGTTCACTTGAGGCCAGGAGTTCAAGACCAGCCTGGGAAACAAAGCAAGACCTTGTCTTTGAAATAAATAAATTTTGAAAATGCAAAATAAAACAGAAGACACATGAATACAGAACTGATTAAGGAGCACAAATATATTTCAGCTACATTAAAGATTGTATATAAGTGTATACAGTTATTAGCTTTTTGACAAAGGAGCCAAAGCAATCCAATGGAAAAATAAAGTACTACTAAACAAATGGTACTGAAATATCTAGATATCCTTTTTTTTTTTTTTTTGAGGCAGAGTCTTGCTCTATCACCCAGGCTGGAGTGCAGAGGCATGATCTCAGCTCACTGCAACCTCCGCCTCCCCTCCCAGGTTCAAGCGACTCTCCTGACTCAGCCTCCTGAGTAGCTGGGATTACAGGTGCGTGCCACCATGCCTGACTAATTTTTTGTATTTTTAGTAGAGGCGAGGTTTCAACATGTTGGCCAGGCTGGTCTCAAACTCCTGACCTCGTGATCCCCCCACCACGGCCTCCCAAAGTGCTGGGATTACAGGTGTGAGCCGCAGCGCCCGGCCAATATCCATATTTTTAAAAATGAAGCTCAGTCCGGGTGCGGTGGCTCACGCCTGTAATCCCAATACTTTGGGAGGCTGAGGTGGGTGGATCACGAGGTCAGCAGATCAATACCCTCCTGGCTAACACGGTGAAACCCCGCTCTACTAAAAATACAAAAAAATTAGCTGGGCATGGTGGCAGGCACCTGTCGTCCCAGCTACTCGGGAGGCTGAGGCAGGAGACTGGTGAGATCACGCCACTGCACTCCAGCCTGGGCGACAGAGCAAGACTCTATTTCAAAAAAAAAAAAGAAACTCAACCTCTATCTCTCACCATATACAAAAATAGATTTGAGGTAGATGATATGCCTAAATATAAAAGCTAAAATCATAATGCTTTCAAAGGAAAAGAGGAGAGTCTCTTCATTACTTGCTGTGATCTTTAATTGTATGGATCCACTTGGCTAGGCCACAGTATCTTACCCAGATATTTGGTCAAACACTAGTCTAGATGTTGTTGTGAAGGTATTTTGAGATGAGGTTAAGATTTAAAGCAGTAGACTTTGAGTAAAGCAGATACCCTCCATAATGTGGTAGACCTCATTCAATCAGTTAAAGATCAGTTAAAGGCCTTTAGAATAAAAGATTGAGGTCCGCTGAAGAAGAAATAATTCTACCATTGGACTTGAGCTGCATCAACCCTTCCTTGGGTCTCCAGCCTGCTGGTCTACCCTGCAGATTTTTGTACTTGCCAACCTCTACAATCTTGAAAGCCAATCCCTTAAAATCTCTCTCTTTCTCCCTCTATATGTGTGTGTATATATATACACACACATAATATATATGTATAGGTATTTATGTATATATACACATAATATATGTATGTATTTATGTATATATATACATAATATATGTATATGTATCATGTATATATACACATAATATATGTATATGTATTTATGTATATATACACATAATATATGTATATGTATTATGTATATAATATAATTTATGTATATAATATATGCATATGTATTTATGTATATATACATAATGTATATGCATATGTATTTATGTATATATACATAATGTATATGCATATGTATTTATGTATATATACATAATGTATATGCATATGTATTTATGTATATATACATAATGTATATGCATATGTATTTATGTATATATACATAATGTATATGCATATGTATTTATGTATATATACATAATGTATATGCATATGTATTTATGTATATATACATAATATATATGCATATGTATTTATGTGTATATATACATAATATATATGTATATGTATTATGTATATATATACACAATATATATATACACACACATAAAATGTGTCCCACCAAAGCATAGAAAGAGAGGTAAGAAGTCGTAACGTGTCTGTTGCATTTCATGAATGAATGAATGAATGAAAGAGTAAATGAATTCTGACTAAGAGAGATTTATTTATAAACACAGTACCATTTACATTAGAACCAACAAGAATGAAGTACTTAGAAACAAATTAAACAACATATATATATACACACACGCACGCATACACACACGTGCACATATACGCACACACACACCCTATTTGTTCTGTTTCTCTGGAGAATCTAGATAATACATTCAGGGATAGACAAAAGTTTCCTAGGTCATAGAAAGCAATAACCATAAAATAAAAGTAAAAACTAAAAAAATTTAAAATTATACTTCATAAAAATTAAAACTTTTGTTCATCAAAAGCCACTGTGTAAGAAACTATGAAAGCTACCACTGTTAAGAAGCTAGGCAAGCTATCGATAAGGGTAAAATGTTCACAAGATGTAATATCTGGCAAAGAACCGACATCTAAATACGTAAAGAAATCCCACGAATCAATAATAAAATAACAACCCAATAAAAACATCCAAATGATTGTAGCAGACATTTCACAAAAGAAGATGTACAGATAGCCAATAAGCACAGAAAAAATGTTCAATATCATTAGTCATCAAGAAAATGCAAATTACAACTATAATGAGCTATCACTTGACGCCCACCAGAATAGCTAAAATTAAGAAGACCCACATGTTGGCAAGAACCTAAAGCAAACATTGTTGGTGGAACTTTAAAATGGCACAACCACTTTGGAAAAAGGTCTGGAAGTCTCCTATAAAACTAAACTCACAGTTAACCTATGGGCATAAGCCATTTCATTCCAGGAGAAATGAAAATATATGCTCCCCCGCCAAAGACTTTGGTAAGAATCTTCATAGCAGGCTTATTTATATAACAGCTAAAATTGGGAACCACACAGGTATCCATTAATAAGAGAATGAATAAATAAACTCAATTGCCCACACACTGGAATACTACTCGGCAATGTGAAGGAAAAGAGAGATGGCTGATACACAAGACAGCATGGGAAGACGAAAGGAAAATTAACAGGGAAGGGGAATGAGAGAACTTTCTGTGGTGATGATAATCTTCTATATCGTGACAGGGGTTTAGATTACACTCATGTATAAGGTTGTCAAAACTCAGCAAAGCAGGCTGGGCATAGTGGGTCACGAAAAAAGAACAAATAAACTCCCCATTACACTTTATTGGAAAATATTATCTGTTTTTCCTAATTCTCTCTTAATCGTCACTAGCCCTTTAATTAAACATTGCTTTTAGTTTTTAAATGTGAATTTGAGAATGTTGACAATTTTCCTAATTTAACTTAAATTGGAGAAAACGCAGAGTTTTGCTTTAGAACTAGTGAATACACTATTTTGTGTTTTCTAATGTGTCCCACCAGGGCATAGAAAGAGAGGTAAGAAATCATAACATGTGTTTGTTGCATTTCATGAATGAATGAATGAAAGAGTAAATGAATTCTGACTAAAAGAGATTTATTTATAAACACAGTACCATTTACATTAGAACCAACAAGAATGAAATACTTAGAAACAAATTAAACAAAATATGTATACACTGTGTATGAGGAAAACTATAAAACTGTTAAAAGGAATCAAGTTTCTAAGAAATGGAATAAATGGTATTCTATGTTCATGGCTAGGAAGACTCAATATTGTTAAGATCAGTTTTTCTCAACTTGATCTATAGATTCAATGCAACCCCAATCAAATCCCCAGCAAGTTATTTTCTGGACATCAACAAACTAATTTTAAAGTTTATATGGATAAGCAAAAGACCTGGAGTAGCCAACGTAATACTAAAGAATAAAGAGAAAAGTTGGAGAAGTTACACTTTAACTTTACACTTTAACACTTACTATAAAGCTCTGATGATCAAGATAATATGGGTATTGGTGAAAGAATAGACAAATAGATCAATGGAACAGAACAGAGTCCAGAAATAAAACCACAAAATTATAAGTCAATTGATCTTTGACAAAGAAGAAAAGGTAAGGCACCAGAGAAAGAATAATCTTCTAGTTCTGTACAAGAACAACTGGACATCCACATGTAGAAAAAAATTAATCTAGACACTGACCTTATACCTGCCACAAAATTCTCTCAAAATGGATCATAGATCTATAATGATAATTTATGTAAATGTTTTAATACTGTTGAGATCATTATAAAGCAAAATATAAACCTTCAAGAAGACAACACAGGAGAAAAACCTATGGGACCTTGGGTTTGGTGATAGTTCTTACTATAACACCAAAAGCAGGATCTATGAAAGAAAAAATTGCTCATTTGCACTTTGCTGAAATCAAAACTTTCTGCTATGTGAAAGACACTATTAAGAAAATGAAAAGACAGACCTGGCATGGTGGTTCACACCTGCAATCTCAACACTCTGGGAGGCCAGGGCAGGAGGATTGTTTGAGCCCATGATTTTGAGACCAGCCTGGGCAATATAGTGGGACCCAATTTCTACAAAGAAAATGAAAAGACAAATCACAGGTTAGAATGAATTATTGCAGAATACATTTATCTTTCTATTTTTCTATCTCTCCTGGGGATCAAGGGGTTTTCTGATGTAAGGCTGATGGTGCCTTCTGTGGGAAGAAAAATGTCCTGTGTCCAATTCATGTCTTAAGAGAGACAGTCCATGAGTTTTGCTGGGACAGAGGCTTTAATGTCCGGGGTAAAACAGTCTCTGACACAGGGGGCAAAGTCACCTTCAGTGGCGAGATCTTGTGTTGGGATGATGTTTTCTGAGGTGATCTCCATCATCTCCAGTGGTGAGATTTTGGGCCAGGATGTCGCTGTCTGAGATGTGGGACTAGGATATCCTTTTCAAGTGGGTACCCACTTGAGTTGACACAGGCCTCACCAATGGCCATGTTTGGTTGAAACAATGGGGTACAGGAGGGTTGGGATCTCTGGATTGTAACCAATAAAAGCACCCAAACCAGTATTAATAAGACCAACAGTTAATAAAATGGTGGGTAACTGCACCCAAAAAGGTATTTTTGTTTGTTTGTTTGTTTTTGGTGGAAGTTTCGGTTCAAATGGGTCTCATACTAGATGAGCAGCTGTCTGACCTGTGAGACAATCTGTGGTTATTGAGTCCCTCTATCTGGCCTCCAGGCCTTATGGGATGGGAATAAAATATAAATTCATTTTAAATAATAGGTTAAGGCCTGGGGCAAGATAGATAACTTTGGGAGTTTATCTGTTGTATTGGAATTTGAAAAAGTTGTTTGAGGAGATTATTATGTCCCTCTGTTAAACCAGTTACCTGGGACCAATTAGGGATATGGAAGTTCTATTGAACACCTTTTGTAAGAGCCCAGTATTGATTCATTGAGTATTCCAAGAAGTAAAATGTGATCTTGGTTACCACCAGTATTTTCTGTAACTTTGAATGGAATAAGGCTTGCACTAGGAAGGCCTTAATATATGTGGAGATGTGATTTTGCTTTCTATTTTTAGTGTCTGTGAGGCAAGAGATTCCCAGAGTTTTTTTTACCTTAAAGGGGATAGTTTTCAAGTAACAGCTCAACAGTTTATAATAAATGGGAAGATAGGCCATTTGTTGACCAGGGCATCCAGTGCTAAGATGACTGCCTGAAGTTTGATCAAATGTGTTGTTTCTTGGGTCCCATCCTTTATCAGGGACATCCTGGTTAAGCAATGGAAAGCAGCCACATTCCACTAAGCTCCATGTGTATGATGGTTAACAGTGACATTTGCATTGTCTACCAATTCCCATTACTGTTCACTCAGTTAATCCCAAGGGGCTTTGCAGGTGATCAAGGGCTCTGGGGGAAGGGTGACTCCCTCCAATACCCTGGCATCTGGTAAGAGACTAAATTAAAGGAAGCCACACCCTTCTGCAGGTAGAATATGTCCTGGAGCCTAGGTTTGGCTGCATCCTGTCTTAAGAAGGTTTTGGTGGCCATGCCTAGCTTGTGGGGTGCTGTTTCCATGACCCAAAGCACAATGGACAGTGGGGCATGGAGGGCCTTAGGCTCAGGGTCTGTGAAAAAACTCTATTTCCAGGAAAGCTCCTAAGTGGCCAGCCATTTATTTTAATGGTGCATAGCATGAGGCTGAGAGGGACAATTTTCTTTTCTTTTCTTTTTTTTTTTTTTTTGCATCAGGAGCCTTGGGGCCACTAATGGCCATAATGCAGGGTTTAGAGACTCCAGGAGGCCCAGAAGAGATTACCAATGCCTCTACAGTGAAGGAGTGTTTTTTGTGAAGGCACTAAGAGGAGTGCCTGTTGATCTTAACTTATAAGTAAAGTTTGTAAATAAAGAAGATGTTACCACCAGAACCCAAAAGTACTAAGGGATATTGGGCTTATGTTTTTAGTGAGTGCATCAAATATACCTCCTTGCAACAGGATGTCATCGACGACTTAGTGTCCTGCCTGTGCTCTTGGAGAAGGTGAATGTCACTGAGATCTTGTTTGTAAAGATTGTGTGGAATGGCAAGGCTGCTGCAGTACTCCATGGATGGCCTGGAAAAGCTGTATTATGTCCCTTAGGAGGTGGAGACAAACCGCAGCTGAAAGGCTGTTGAACTGAATAGAACATGTTAGCCAATCTATAGAGCAAAATATTTACTGGTAGTTGATTGAATAGAATCAATAATTTTAATAATACTGGACATTGGGTATAGGGCCCTAATGGATAGGACCACAGCATTAACGTTGTAGTAATCCATCTTAAGGCACTTATTATTTTTCCCAGTTCGAGAACAGGCAAAATTCAAATGGACAAGCAGTGGAGATAATTACCTCTTAATTAATTAAGTTTTATATGTATACTGTTTTAATCCTTGGAGGTCTTGTTTTAACTTACATTGGGCCGTATTAACTATTTTAATTGGGAGTGCACAGGGTCCTGTTTTATGAAGCCAATTTGTAAATGCCAAAAAGTTAATTTTAATTTATTAGTCATTATGTTAGAACATCTCTGCCCAATATGGCATATCTTAGAGCAATGGGTACTATGACTATGAGAAATTTAGGCAAGGCTACGGGTAAAGTGAGGCATATCCACTTTTGTCTATATTATGGTTAGTTACCCTGTTAAAATTAAGCACTGTGTTTAAACATTTAGTGGGATCCGCAGGTATAATTATAACTCAAGTTCCAACACTGATTAAGTCCACGAACTTTTGTCAATCAGTGCATTTTGGCAAATGTTGAAGTTAAGTTAGAAACTATGTTGTATAGATACATAAGTCAATCAGAGCTTCTTAAAATCATTTTTGTTACATAAATTATTGAGTGTATAAATTTACTATATAAATTTTGGATTTCTCGTTTAATAATTAGAGAACTTTGTTTCAATTTACCTATATATTATATATACATATACAGAATTTATCATATATTTATACTAAAATATTTTGTATATGTATATATGATTGATTTAATTACCTTTTATCCTCCCCCCCATATCTAAGGGTTTGTTTACAAACCAGTAAATAATCTAGGGTTAGCATTGCATTCTATGTGCTAGACCTCGCATTTGCTTGGTAGAAAATGTTTTAAGTTTCCTTTTTTTTTTTAATCCTTGGACTTGTAGCTTTGTTGTTGTTTGGGAGATTGCTGTTGTTTTAGGCTTTTAAATCTGGAAGCAGCAATTTTGGTTTCTGTCTCTGGTTGATGAGAGGAAAAGAGTGGTAAGCAGCCGGGTGCCTCTAGGCAGTAGCCTCTTCTTGGGATGCCAGTAAACACCAGATTATCACTCCCTTTCTCTCCTTTTTCTTTTAAATAAAACCTTAATGGCCTGTGTTTAGAAGCGGCTGAAATGTTTTTCCTCTCTCTTCTGATGTTTACCTGACAAGCTCCTGGTGGTCCAGAGTGGCCCCTGCTGCGAGTTAATTAGGGTCGTAATTAAGGTCCCTTAGAGTCAGGGAGAAAGCAAAGGAAGGCGGCGCAGAGAGATTGTTATCGGCGACGTGCCAGGACCTCTCTCGGTGCTGCCTCACTAACGCAGTGGGCAGTCAGACTGTGATGTCCCTCTTGCGATCTGCTCAGCCTCTGCACTGATCCAGTGCACCCCCAGGCACAGGTTACCCCTCTCCAGGCACAGGTTACCCCTCTCCGCCTCTCGGTGACAAGCCATTCACCTGAGTGAGACCTTCAAAATACAGTCAATTTCACTGTGATTGGTACTTCTCATTAAGGGGAGTGATAGCAATCATTGTGTCCCCTCTTGCGGTGCTAAGGCTGTCAAGTGGTAGGTCCCAGGAAGGACTCGGACTTTCTAGGACCCACCCAGCTGAGGGAGGGGAGTTTTGGCAGCGCTCAAAAACAACAGGCTGTCAAAGCTGCTAACATACTTAAGCTTTATGAACTTAGGGATTTTCCTCCTCCTCCTCCTCTCTCTCTTCCATCTTTATTCATTGCTGTATCCTCAAAGCCTGGGATGGTACATGGCAAATAGTAACCACTTGATCCTTCATCCTTCAGTGGAAGAATTCCATTCTGAAACTATGACCAAATCTTCAGTGCTGTCCATAACTTGGTTCTAGAAGTTCAATTCTAGTAAATAATATTTATATTATTATGATTTTGTAAATACTGTTCACGGCAGGACCAAGGAGTATGCTAGCATAATGTTTCATTCTCTAAGAGACCAATGTTAGGATCCCAGAACCACTTAAAGAAAAATGTTTATTACATCAGTGGATTTTATTTTATTATACTCCGTCAGTTACATACAACTAGGCCACATTTCAGTTTGCTTTCTATTTGGACAAGTGGGTTTTTTTCACTATAGTTTTTGTTATCCTGAAGTTTTTCATTATTCTTCCACCTTGCATTAAGTACCTTTATTATAAAAAGTTTTTCTATCCTTTCAATCACACTACGTGTTGTTCTGGGGAGTGACATTTTCCCTGGCAATCCCTCTGGTGCTCCGGTCTTCCTACTCCAAACAGCGCTGGTGAATCTTTAGCTCTGCAGCACAGTGTTCACTCTGAGACTTTGCTGCTTTCCTGGCAGAAACCCCTGTTCCTGGTACCCCATACCTTCCACTTTCCGGGGTGATTTTCTAGTGCTCTAGAGTACATCTTCAGGTAGCTCCCAAAGAAAAGAGAAAGAATGAGAGGTTAACTCAAATGTGTGAAAATATCTTTAGTTCAGTCTTCGAGTTGCTAGTGTGGCCGAAACATACGATGCTGCATAAAATCATTTTCTATTACAGCTTTGAAGGCATTGTTCCATTTCTCCAACACACAGTGAAATTGATCAGAAATATGATGTCAGGGCTCACTCCTCCTCTGTTTTGAGTGACTCGTTTTCCTCTTGGAGAAATTTTAAGATTTTTCTCTTTATTCTCAGTGTCTATAGCTTTGCAAATATCCATCTTGCTTGGCACTTAATAAGTCCTTTCTATTTGAAGACAGGTCTTTTTTCAGCTCTAATGAAAGTCACCTGTTTATTTGATAATTTCTGCCTCCATTCTATCTACTGTTTTTGGAAATCCATTATAATTATGATTATGATTTTAGATTCAGGGGTACATGTGCAGGTTTATTACATGGATATATTTTTTAACAATGTGGTTTGGGCTTCTAGCATACTCATCACTGAAACTGTGAACATGATACCAAATAGGTAAATTTTCAACCCTCACTCCCCCTGCTCTGTCCCTTTTGAAGTCTTCAGGGTCTATAATTTTCATCATTATGTCTATGTATACCCCGTTGTCTAGTTCCCATTTATAAGTGAGAACATGTGGTATTTGATTTCCTGTTTCTGAGTTATTTTACTTAGGATAATGGCCTCTGGCTCCACCCTTAATGTTGCAAAGGACATGATTTTATTCTTTTTTATGGCTGCATAGTATTCCATGCTGTAAACACGCCACATTTTCTTTATCCAGTTGACTTATCCTATCAACTGTTGATGGACCCATAGGTTAATTCCATGACTTTGCTTTTGTGAATAGTGCTGTGATAAACATACAAGTTCAGGTTTCTTTTTTATATAATGATTTAATTTCCTCTGGGTAGATGACCAAAGTGGGGATTTCTGGGTCAAATGATAGTCCTATTTTTAGTTGAGAAATCTCCATATTGTTTCCCATAGAGGTTATGCTAATTTGTGTTCCCACCAACAATGTGTGTTTCCTTTTCTCTGCATTCACATCAACATCTGTTGTTTTTTGACTTTTTAGTAATTGCCTTTCTGATTGGTGTGATATGGCATCTCATTGTGATTTTAATTTGCATCTCTCTGATGATTAGTGATGTTGAGCATTGTTTTTATGTTTATGGGCCACTTGTATGCCTTTTTTTGAGAAATGTCTGTTCCTATCATTTGTCCAGTTTTTAATGGGATTGTTTGTTTTTATCTTGTTGCTTTGTCCAAGTTTCTTACAGATTCTGGTTATTACTTCTTTGTCAGAGACATAGATTGCAAATATTTTCTCCCATTCTGTAGGCTGTGTGTTTACTCAGTTGATTATTTATTTTGCTGTGTAAAAGACACATAGATCAATGAAATAGAATAGAGAATCCAAAAATAAAACCACACGCCTACAACCAACTTATCTTTGACAAAGTCAACAAAAATAAACAATGGGGAAAGAACACCCTATTCAATAAATGGTGCTGGGAAAATTAGCTAGCCGTATGCAGAAGAATGAAACTCCAGCCCTCTTACCATATATAAAAATTAAGATGAATTAGAAACATAAATGCTTGACCTGAAACTATAGAAATCCTAGAAGAAAACCTCGGAAAAACTCTTCTGGACATTGGCCTAGTCAAATAAGTTTTGACTAAGACCCCAAAAGCAAATGCAACAAAAACAAAAATAGGAAATCCCATTATTATTCAAATCCAGAATTTCCTAGGCCTATTTTTTACTCAAATTTTTTCATCACTTTCCTTGTGGCTCTGTGTTTTGTGAGATGTCTTTTACTTTGCTTTCTATTTTACTCATTTTTAAACTTAAAAGCATAAACTTAATGTCTAAAAACATAAACTTTATGTTCTCTGTTCTATTTTCATAGACTTGCTATTGTTTAATGGCTGAAATATCCTTTTGATTCTTGCTAAGTATCAGAGCAAAAGCTTTTATTCAGTTACATTATGTGCTCTGCACTATCTGTTTCCTCCAGGGCCCATTTTAATCTTTATTTTAATCTTTCTTCTTCATGCTGTGGTCTCTTTATATACACCTATCTACTTAAGTTGAAGAAAGCAAGCCTGAGATAATGGGTATGAATTATGTATGCAGGATTCCCCAGCCTAAGCTTCTCCCTTGATGGGAAATACTGATTGGGAACCTAATGTGAACATGGGGACTGTTTGCTTGGCTTCCTCTGATGGCAAGAAGACAGGTAGCAAGCTATTGAGTTATAGTCCCTGAAGATTCCAAAAACTAAGAGGAATTTACTTTCAGAACCAACATTATCTACATTGGAAGCCTCAACTTTCACTTATTTTGTTCAGTCTCTCAATTAGACTCGCTAATGGGGGCTATTTTTTATTAATTAATTAATTTATTTATTTTGAGACAGCTTCACTCTGTTGCCCAGGCTGAAGTGCAGTGGCATGATCTTGGCTCACTGCAACCTTCACCTTCAGAGTTCAAGTGATTCTTGTGCCTCAGCCTCCAGAGTAGCTGGGGACTATTGAGGATGGAAGGCAAACCACTTGTGCTCAGTGAAGCTAATCTGCTATTGACACAGGAAAATTTCCTTGACCCCTTTGCAGGCCTTGTGACAGGGGTGCCTCGCTTACTCAGCCCGCCACAGGTGAGTGGGTGCAGGAGCCACAATGAGTGCTTTTGGGTGCTGGCAGGAGCAAAACTTTGTGCAGCTCTGTGGCAGCGCCTAGAGGGGTACCTGCAATCCCTGAAGCCCCAGAAGGTGTGTGTTACAGTGCTCTTTTAGCTTTGCCATCCACAGATGGGTTAAGTGTTAAACAGCTCGGTGAGCCCTCTGCCTTTTCACAAGGGCAGAGGGTCAGTGTGACAGCCTTCAGTGTCTGCACCTGTGGCACCTGAGCTCTTGTTTAGCATCCAGGAGAATCCAGGTCACACAAACAAATTGAAGGGTGATGAATACAAAGTATTTTATTGCCAATGAACGTGGCTCTCAGCAGGAAGAGGAGCTGGAAGGGAGATGGAGTGGGAAGGTGATCTTCCCCCAGAGTCCGGCTGTCCCGGCCAGACTCCTCTCTGAAGCAACGTCATCAAGCCATCTCTCTGAAGTCAAGCTGCTTCTCTCTGATGTCAAACCACAGTCTCCAATGTCCAGCTGCTTCTCCTCTTCTCCCCTTCTCTGCCCTTTGGCAGTCGAGTCAGGAGTTTTATGGGTATAGGACGGGGAGCAGGGCAGGCCATGGTGGTTTTGGAAAAGGCAACATTTGAGTGGGAAAAACAGAAATACATGTTCTCACTTTGGGCCATGGTTCCAGGCTTGGGGGTGGGGCTTTGCCAGGGAGCCTGCCCTTTCCTGCCTAGAATTTCTCTGCCTCCTGTTCCTATCACTATTGCAAAGTCTCCCATTGATACAGTGCCTTAGACATCAAGAATTTCATTTCTCTTACATAACAGTCCAGTTCTGCTCCATGAAGTCATTCAGGGACTTGAGGTCCTCTTATCTTGTTTCTACACCATCTCCTAGAGCAGCACTTCTCAAATGTTAATGTGCATAGGAATCACCTGGAGGTCTTATTAAACTGCAGATTCTAATTCAGTTGGTCTATGGAGGTGCCAGGTATTCTGCATCTTTAATGAGCAGGAGCTGCTGCTGATGCAGATGCTGCCAACTGGAGAAGAATTTAAAAACCAGGCACTAGCATTGTTCTCATCCATACCATTGAATTTCCATTAAATTCTGTATTCCAACCAGGTGCAGTGGCTCACACCTGTAATCCCAGCAACTCAGGAGACTGAGGCAGGAGAATCACTTAAGCCTAGGAGATCTAGACCAGCCTGGGCAACATAGTGAGACCTCATCTCTAAAAAATTTTTTTTTTAATTAGGCAGGGGTGGTGGTGTGTGCCTGTAGTCCTAGTCACTTGGTGGGAGGAGGAGGGAGGATCACTTGAGCCCAGGAGTTCATAGTTACAGCGAGCTATGATTGCACTTCTGCATTCCAGCCTGGGCAGCAGAACAAGACCCCATGTCTATAAAATAATAGTAATAATGAACAAAATTCTGTATTCCAGCACAAGAGATGGTGAAGGAGTGAGAAGGCCCAAGCCTGAAAGCAACATCTTCATTTTCACTCCCCTGCCACTGGCGAACTTATAGTAACAGGCACACTAACCCAGCTATCAGTCTACCACTGTGGAGAAAAGAAAGACTGAATGTTGACAAACAACTGGCAGTCTCCACTATGTAGTGAGACTGAACTGGAAGTTTTAAATTTTTTTGATTTTTTAAAAATAAGTTGTCTTCATTAAATATTAAGTAAGAAAGCATTTATGTGTGTAAGATATAAAGAAAAATAGTAGAATGAAAACTGATATATTTATCACCTGAGTTTAACAAAAAGGATTACTCCCACTTTCTTTGAAGTGCCTTCTGAAGCCATCTTCACTTCTCTTCACTTTGATTTCTGTTCCTCCCACATGCAAAATACATTCACACTCTCCCAAGATTCCCAAGGGTCTCATCCCATTATAGCATTATCTCAAAGTCCACAAATTCATTCAAATCATCTAACCCAGCTGAGAATGAGTCCCCTGGGTATAATCCGTCCACTGACCTGTGAACTAAAGAGACAAGTCGTCTGGCTCCAACACACTGAAAATAATATGATGGGACTTGTGCAGGATAATTATAGACAATTATAGCACAAATAGTGAAAAAATGGGAGGTAAAAAGCAACCACTAGCTTATAAAATTCTGAAATAGAGCAAAGCAAATGTCGATTTTTTTTTTCAAGGCCTGTGATGTGGTTGGGATGTGTGTCCACTCCAAATCTCATGTCGAAATGCAATCCCCCATGTTGGAGGTGGGACCTGGTGGGAGGTGTTGTATCCTGGGGGTGGTTCCCTTCAGCACCCCCTTGGTGATGAGTGAGTTCTCACTCTATTCGTTCACATGAAAGCTGGTTGTTTAAAAAAGCCTGGCATGGCTCTTGCTCCCTCTTTTGCCGTATGATACCCCCCTGCTCCCCCTTTGCTCTCCTCCATGATTGTAAGCATCCTGAGGCCCTCACTAAAAGCAGATGCCAGCACCACATTTCCTGTAAAGCTTGCGGAACTGTGAGCCAAAAAAGCCTCTTTTCTTTATAAATTACCCAGTCTCAGGTATTCTTTTATAGCCACACTAATGGACTAATATCGCCTGAGAACAATCATTTGTAGTGTTTGGCCCCACGCCCCAGTTTCTTGGCTCTGCCTTCTTGGTGATTGACTCCACCCTCTAGGCTCTTAACCCTGCCCTCTAAGCACTTGGCTCTACCCCTTAGGCTCTGTGCACACCGTCTCACTCCTTCTCCATCCCTTGTGCTGTAATACAAATTTTATTTTTATTTTTATAGAGATGGGGTCTCATTCTGTCACCCAGGCTGGAATGCAGTGGCGCAATCACGGCTCCACCCTCTGAATTATCCTTAATTATTCATAAAATGTAGCAGGTGTTTGCAGTTGAGTTATTTATCAGCCTGCTTCCTGCTAGCAGAATTTGGGGGGATCCCACATTCCCTTTCATTTTATATTTTCTTTTTTCCTTTTTGTCTAAGATGGTAGTGTTTCTGCTGAAGCAATTTTCTCAAGAACATTGTGGATCCTGAATTTATTTCACAGGGATTCGCTCCGTTAGACAAAACCCACACTCCTAATATTTTTTTTATGTGAGCCCTTCTTTACCTTTGGCTTCTGCTGAGATAGCTGAGGGGCAGCCCTGTAAGTTTGCTAGAGGCCCTCTGTGTTGATTAAGAGGATCTGAGGGGGCACACCCTTCATCTCTTGATGGGGCCTCTTGTGTGATCTCTTGATATTTCTGTGGTTTTAGAAAAAGATGTGTTGTCAATCACACACCCAGCCTTTTCTCTACACCACACTTTTAGCAGTCTTTTCTGACACTTAGCACCTAATGCCATCTGGAAAGGCTGAACATTTTCAAAATCTCCTAGTCTTGTTTTTTTTTTCTTTTTATTGTTGTTGAACTGTTCTCTCCTCAATTTATCTTCCTCCTCTTGCATATTACAAGTGCCAAAAAGAAGCCAGGCAGCACCTTCAAATCTTTGCTTTGAAATTTCCTGAGCTATATATTCAGCATGACACATTCTGTTTTCCACAAAAATTCTGTTAAACTTTCTGCCTTTACAGAATAAGGATTCCTTTTCCTACAGTGGATGGGAAACGGTGAAGAAAATCACCATTAGAAATACACCAAAGTAATAGCATGCAACATCCTCCTAAGTATGCTCGAATCAATGAGTGAAAATCTGAGGAAAAACAGGATATTAAGATGGTTTCAAAGTTTCTTTCTCATAATGTTTATCAATCACAAAAGGAAAAAATGGTAACTCTACAGTAATGAAATCGGATGGACATCACTTAACCAAGTTATCAAGGACAACACTAAGGTAATGAGACATATTGAGATCATGTACACCAAAGAACACAACATCACTTCTGTATTATTTTTGCCCAAAAAGCGTAATGTCATTATAATAATGAGGAAATTTCAGAAAAATGCAAATTAAGATATATTCTCCAAAACAGCTGACCAGTGCTTGCCAGAGGTGTTATGGTCATGAAAGACAAGAACAGATGGAGGAAGGGTCCTGGATTGGAGGGAACGAAGAAGACACAGCCACCAAATGCAGTGGGGGATCCTGGATTAGATGCTGGAAAAGAAAAAGGACAAAAGGAGAAACTGGTGTCATTCAAATAATGTCCATAGTTTACTTAGTAGGATCATATCAATTGATAATCTCCTGGTTTTTATCATTGCATGATGGCTATGTAAGTTGTTAACATTAGGGGAAGCCAGGTGAAAGAGTTTACATGAGCTCCCTGTAATATTTTTGAAACTTTTCTAATTTAAAAATAAAAGCTGAAAAAAAGCAAACAGAACCCAGGAAAATACAACAATGACAATACATCATGGCCAAATGTAGCCTATTCTAGGCATATACATTTGATTTAATATGTGAAAATTAAATAAGAAATAGGCAGCAGTTGTGCTATCTATTTGCCCTCTCTAGGGGTATGTCCAGGGAAGAAGGGGTTCACCTAGTCATATCCCCTTATAAACTTGATAATAACAGAACGCCTAGGAAGCACGCTAACAGTATTTATTAGCAGGAGAATCCTTATCTGTTTTTAGCAATAGCAGATCTGTACTAATTATTTGTTATGAATAAAACATAAGATTAATGTATACATGGAGCATGATTTTTGGAAAATATTACATAGACTGTGTACCTATCTGATATGGTTTGGCTCTGTGTCCTCACCCGAATCTCATGTGGAATTTTAATCTCCATGTGTCAGGAGAGGGGCCTGGTGGGAGGGGATTGGATCATGCGGGAGGTTTCCCCATGCTGTTCTTGTGGTAAGAGTGAGATCTCTCAAGATCTGATGGTTTAAAGATCTGGTGGTTTAAAAGTGTGGTACTTCCTTGCGAGCTCTCTCTCCTGCTGCCATGAAAGACCTGCCTTGCTTCCCCTTTGCCTTCTGCCATGATTGTAAGTTTCCTGAGGCCTCCCCAGCCATGCAGAACTGTGAGTCAATTAAACCTTTTTTCTTCATAATGTACCCAGTCTAGGGCAGTTCTTTATAGCCATGTGAAAACAAACTAATACGGTATCTAAATATAAAAGGCAGATTTTAATTACCAAAATCACTTCTGTTTATGTAGGTGATATTCCAAATGCATTACTCTCTAAAACTCATGTGTTAAAATTGCGCCCATTGTGTTAAGATTTTTGGAGTTGTCTTGGTGATTGTAAATGTCTCTATGCTTAGCCTGTGCAAAGATTAAGAAAAAAATGAATGATAACATATTTTAGGACACCAGGAATACAATGCAACTTTCTTAAAATATTGAAAACTTTCCCTCTGATAGTCTGAATGAGATAGGGCATTATACTAGAGGTCTTATGAATGCAATAAGACAAGAAAAATAAATAAAAGGTATAAGAATTGAAAAGAAAGACATATAAAAATTAAAACTGGGAAATGCTTCTGACTATTAAACAATTACATGACTGTATATAAATTCCAAAATATCTAAAGATAAGACTTTTGATTCTAGGTAAGATGTGTTCGGTCATGGGAGGCTAACATTTTATCTATCTATAAGAACTAACTAAAAATGGATAAATTACAAGAATTAATTGTTAAATACAACAGGCAATGTTGGAAGTAACAAGTACAGGTGAACTAACATTCTGTGGAGAGAAGAGCCCATTCTAGGTGAGCTGATGACCACCAGCTGTTTCCTTCCCCGGTGGCATTTGCCAAGTCTGGGCCTGGGCTGAGGGTCATATTTAGCCCATGCAGGAACACAACATATAGGGAAAGAAAAAACAGAAAAGCTCTTGACAGTTGTTTCAGGATGGTGTGACAGATTGGACACTAGAGGAAATAAAAATGCTTGGCTATTTTCCCTACATGCAATGCTTCTTGAAATCTCAAGGTGTACAGGAAGCTAGGAGCCTGATGTGGAAAGGTGGAGTAAAATATCCCCCATTTGGGCTTGAGAAACAATGTCCCACTGTGAACAAAAACAAAACCAACTCCCTACTCCATCCCTTTAAGACATTTGCCTGATTTTGATTCTGTACTACATGAGGTGAGAGACTAAAGAGTCAGCTCTAAACTTTTGAAATGAAGGATTCTCATGAAATAGAACTACCAGTATTTCAATCAAAATTCTGTAAGGTTCATGCCTGAGAAAGCAGTGAGGGCCAGGCATGAAGGCTCATGCCTGTAATCCCAGTACTTTCAGAGGCCAAAGCAAGAGGATTGCTTGAGAAAGGAGTTCAAGACCAGCATGGGCAACATAGTGAGACTCCATCTCTACAAAAATAATTTTTTTTAAAGGCCGGGCACAGCGGCCTCAGCCACTCAGGAGGCTGAGGTGAAAGGATCGCTTGAGCTCACGAGTTCAAGGCTATAGTAAGCCATGATCATGGCACTGCACTCTAGGCTGGGCAATAGAGTGAGATTCCAACTCTAAAAAAAGAAAGAAAGAAATGAATAGAAGTGAAACTGATATGGATTGAGCCTCACTAAAACTGTGCCCAGTCCTAATCCTGCTCAAGCTCTAATTGGAATGAGGTGATGTTCCTCAGCCTATCTGTCTCAGAGAGAATTCAAAATGAAGGAACGCTTACCAACTCATGTTATAAGGCTAGTATAACTCTGACACAAAACTAGAAAAGACATAACAATAAAGAAAAATTATAATGCCAATATTCCTCAGGAACACAGATGCAAAATAATAGCAAATCAAATCCAGCAAAGTATAAAAAGGATAATTTCTTATGATCAAGAGGCATTCATTCCAGGAATTCATAACATAAGAAAATCAATCTTATTGACCATGTTAATAAGATAAAGAAAAATTTATATGATCATTTAATACATACAGAGAAAGTATTCACAAAATCAACACCCTTTCCTGATGAAGATTTAGAGTAAACTAGGAATATCAGGACAAGGCAGAAAGATCTTCTGGTGGAGGTTATCTATAAAATACTCATCACTAACTTTATAAGTAATAGTAAGATATTGAATGCTTTCCTCCTGAGTTATGTAAACAAAGATGTTCCTTATTAAGCACTTCTATTTAACATTGTACTAGAGTTTCTAGTTAGCATAACAAGCAAAGTACATATAAATTATAAATGACATGAACTTTAAAACTGTCATTCATAAGCAATATAATTATATACATAGAATATACAAAAGTCCAACACATATTTGAAGTAGTAAATGAACTTAGAAAGATCATTAGACACCGGGTTAATATGCAAGCATCAACTAAATTTCTATTTCCTAGAGACAAACAATTGAAAATTGAAATTATAAAAACATTTCCAGTCGCATCAAAGAACATCAAATGCCTAGTAAAAATTTAATGGAAGATGTTATGGTAGAAAGAACAATGGCCTCCTAAAGATGTTCATGTCAGAATCCCTGGAACCTGTGAGTTAATGCCTTACATGGCAAAAGGGGCTTTGCAGATGTGATAAAGTTACAGACTTTTTGATGGAAAGACTACTCTACATTATCCAGAAGGTCCCAGTCTAGTCACATGAGTCCTTAAAATCAGAGAACCTGGTTACTGAAAGAGATATGAGGGTAGAAGTAGGGTCAGGAAGATGTTACATTGCTGGCTTTTAAGATAGAAAAAGGAGACCATGAATCAAAGCATTCAGGTGGCTGCTAGAAGCCAGAAAAGGCACTGAAATAAACTGTTGCCTAGAACTTCCAAAAAGAATGCAACTCAGCTGCTACCTTGAGTTTAGCTCTGTAAGACCTATTTTGGACTACTGACCTCTAAACCTGTAAAATAATAAAAGTTTGTTGTTCTAAGCCACTATGCTTGTGGTAATTTGTTACAGCAGCAATAGGAAACTAACATAGATCTTGGTTCCAATACGCCATACTTTTGATACCAATACTCTATACTGTATACTTTTGTTGCTGCTGTAACAAATATTTAAAATTATGGAGAGATCTTTGGACTTAGGCAGTGGGTAGAGGATGAAGGAATTTTAAGGGACATTATAGAAAAAGCCTAGAGTGCCTTCACCAGGCTGTTAGGAAACTATTCCTAGTTTATTCTGAAACTTCATCATGAAAAGGTGTTGAACTTGTGAAATACCTTTTCTGTATCTATTAAAATGATCCTATAATTTTTTTCTTTATCTTACTAACATAATAGCATTGATTGATTCTTTTATGTTATGAATTCCTGGAATAAATGCATCTTGATCATAAGAAATTATCCTCTTATGCATTGCTGGATTTGATTTACTGTTATTTTGCATCTGTGTTTCTGAGGAATATTGGCATTATAATTTTTCTTTATTGTAATGTCCTTTTCTAGTTTTGTGTCAGAGTCATACTAGCCTGATAACAAACACTTGTAAGTGTTTCTTCATTCTGAATATTAATGTAATGACTGCTAGTGAGGACTGAGAAAGAAGTGAGCAGGATGGTGGAGAAAACCTATGATGTCTTATAGAATATAGAAATTGTCATAAACAGGCTATCGGTGGAAATATGGATGCTAAAGCATTGCTAATAAGGGTTCAGGAAGAAATGAATACAATGAGACTGGAGGAAATTACAACCTTGTCATATAGTGGTAGAATGTTAAGCTGAACTACATTCTACAGTTATGTGGAAAACAGAATTTGTTACGAACTTGGATATTTAGCTGAGGATATTCCCAAGCAAAGTATTGAATATGCAGCCTGGTTTCTCTCTGCTTTTCATTATAAAATGTGAGAGGAAAGAGAACTGTTAACCCAAAAGAAATCAGCACTTGATGATTTGGAAAATTCCCAGTCATTCTAGGTTATGAAAGATGCTAAACTTCAAAGAATCACAGGAAAGCTTGCTCTGGAGGGCAAATCAGGGGAGTAGCTGGACAACATTTCCCTCGTGGTTTGGAAGGAACAAAATATCTTCGAAGGAAGAAGGCATGTGATTCATGGATTTCCTTAGCTATCTCAGCAGAAGCCAAAAGTAGATATGGGGTTATCTAGAAACGACCTGTGGATGAGCCTCTTGTCTAATGAGTAAATCTCCATGACATATACCAGTGACTCACATTGTCCTTGAGAATTTTATACCAGCAAAAACACTGCCAACTTAGACTGAAGGAGACAGCGTGAAATGAAAGGCTATTGGACTCCTAAAAGTCTACAGGTAGAAAGAAGGCCGTAAAACTACTCAGCTGCAAACACGTGCTAGCCTTCATTGCAAAGGATAACTCAGAGGGCAGAGCTGATAGTCCAGAGGGTAAAACCCTAAGCCCAGAGGGCAGAGTTGTGAACCAAAGAGGTTTATCTGAAGGACTTAAACCTAATGTTGTTTTCCCAGCTTAATTTTGAAATTGCTTGGGACTGACGATTCCTTTTTTCTTTCCATTTTTCCCCTTTTTGAACAGGAATGCTTGTAACTGGTATTCATACCTGTACCATTTTATATTTTGAAAAAAACACATATTTTGAGCCGGGCGAGGTGGCGGGCGCCTGTAGTCCCAGCTACTCGGGAGGCTGAGGCAGGAGAATGGCGTGAACCTGGGGTGCAGAGCCTGCAGTGAGCCGAGATCGCTCCACTGCACTGCAGCCCGGGCAACAGTGAGACTACGTCTCAAAAACAGAAACAAAAACAAAAACAAAAAACAAACAAAAAAACACAAATATTTTCTCATATTTTCTAGTGTCACAGGCCCACAAATGGAGAAAAATTTGCCTTATGATAGCTCATATCCAGAGTCTCACCCATATCTGACTTAAATAATTTAGATGAGATTTTGGACTTTAAGTTGATGCTGCAATGGGCTGCAAATTTTGGGGATATTGTGTTAAAGGAAGCATATTTTGCACATGGAACAAATGTGAACATTTGAGGAGCAGGAGGTGGAGTATAGTAGGTTATGTGGGGAGTCACTGAAGCCTCTGTCCAACCACCAGCAAGGAACTGAGATCTGACAACAGCCATGTGAGTGGGTCTTCATGATGACTTCTTCAGAGGATTGCAGCTCCAGGTCACAACTTGACCGAACCCACATGAGTGACACTGAGCCAGAACCACTTAGCTAAGATTTATGACCCTCAGAGAACTATGTGAGATAATTAATATTTGTTGTTTAAAATTGCTAAGTTTGGGGGCAATTTGATATGAGGCAACAGACAACTAATATAATTTAGTAATTTTATGTAAAAAATAATGCAAGTATGATCCAAATGTCCATCCATTGATGCACGAATAAGTAAAATATTTCTACAATAGAATATTATGTAATCATAAAAAGGGATGAGATAGTGATACATACTGCATGATAGATTAACTTTGAAAGCATTAGGCTGTGTTCTCGCTTATAAGTGGGAGCTGAACGATGGGAACACATGGACATATAGAGGGAAACAGTGCACACTGGGGCATACTGGAGGGTGGAGGGTGGGAGGAAGGAGAGGATCAGGAAAAATAACTGATGGGTACTAGGCTTAATGCCTGTGTCACGAAATAATCTAAACAACAAACCCCCATGACACACATTTACTTATGTAACAATTCTGCCCATTCTGCACATGTAGAACTTAAAATAAAAGTTAAAAAAAAAGAAAAGAGAACCTTATGCTGAATGAAATAAGGCAGGCATGAAAGACCATATGTTTTTGATTCAGTTCAATGTATATAAAATGTCCAGAATAGGCATACGCATAGAGACAGAAAGTAGAATCGTGGTTGCCAGGGACTAGAGGAGGGAAAATGCAGAGTGACTGCTGATAGGGGCAAGACTACTTTTTGGGGTAATGAAAATGTCCTGGAATTAGATAGTGGTGATAGTTGCACAACTTTGCAAATATATTAAAATCTGCTAAATTGTACGCTTTTTAAAAGGGTGGGTTTTGTGGTTATGTGAATCTTATTTTGACTTTGAAAAGGAAGGGGAAAGAAAGAAGACAAGAAAAGTCTTTTGACATATGTATGCAAAAGTTAGAATTGAGTTAGAATTAAGAATTTTGTTTGTCTTTTATTTAAGAGATGCAGAAATTGTAGTGATGTGGGATGGCAGGGATGGGAGAGAAACAAAGGGAGCATTAAAAAAAATGGCTGAAGACTGTATTTCCTTCATGGTATTTAATCAACAGAGGCAAAAGACAGGTTAATTGAAAATACTTTCTGTGGCCAGCTCACGCCTCTAATTCCGTCACTTTGGGAGGCCAAGGTGGGCAGATCACTTGAGGTCAGGAGTTTGAAACCAGCCTGGCCAACATGGTGAAACCCCGTCTCTACTCAAAATACGAAAATTAGCTGTGTGTGGCGGTGTGCGCTTGTAATCCCAGCTACTCGGGAGGCTGAGGTGTGAGAATCGCTTGAACCCGGGAGGTGGAGATTGCAGTGAACCGAGATGGTGCCATTGCACGCTACCCTGGGCAACAGAGCAAGACCCAGTCAAAAGGGAAGGGAAGGGGAGGGGAAGGGAGGGGAGGGGAGGGGAGGGGAGGGGAGGGGAGGGGAAGCAAGGGAAGGGAAAGGGAGAAAAGACTTTTGTGTGTGTGTGTGGACTTTACACAACAACCTTCAGGTCTAATACTTTCTGAGACTGAAGCACAGAAGCCCTACTTTTATAAATATTGCAGAAGTATAAGACATGGTCTCTGAAATCAGGGCATTTAAAATTTATTTGGGGGGAAAAACTAAGAAACAGGTAACAAAATGTGATACAGAACTGAGTGCTAAGTTTCAAGATACAAACTATAAATCTGTAGGACCTTAGAGAGAAAGATCCAAGAGGGCAATTTCAGTCATTTCATCTTCAGTTGTTGTTATTTGAATAAGTTATATCTTTTATAAGAATCCAAGGGGTAAGCAGAGGTCTCAATTGAGCAAAATGGCTGTTCTACCAACCCCCTCTAAATGCTGATTAAATTTTCAAATATTAAAATAGAACCAAAAGCAGGTTTAATTTTTTAAGTAATACATGTTTATACAGTGTACACAATTTTAGACAGTACATAAGTTCCTCATATGTGGATATAAGCTCCTTGAAGCCTCTGGGTTTTGTGTCCCTCAATTTCTACCTGTACCTTACACATAGTAAGTAGCCCATACATCAGTTATTGAGTACTGAAACCCAAGCCTTTCTGGAACTCACCCTCTATCAACCCTTTCTGGGAATTAAGAATTACAATTCTTTCACTAAATGCATTCCACTAAAATGCCTAAAACAGTGTGTATCTTTAGTGAAGCATTTCCCTAAAATGCCTAAAACAGTGTTTGTCTGGTGTGAAAAAGTATGTCCTGTGAATACCCCTGATTATATTTAGCAGCACTCTTACACACTAAAATGGTCAAGATATAAAGAGCCTAGGGATCCTAGAGAAATAGGATTTCCTTCACAGAATATACTCCTGATTGTCCACTCTGGGTGTTCTCCTCAGCTTTCCTCCTAAATATTTATATACACTGCTCATACCTCCAATTTCCTTGACAGGTAAAGAGAGATCATTGTCAGAGCCTCATGCCGTGCAAAGCCAAATCACTGTGGAAATTTTTAAATAAATATAAGTCAACTTTCTCATGATCGATCTTGCTTTTCAGACCTCTTTGAGCTCTCTTATGTTTCTTCATTACACTTGTATTCTGGAATCCAATACTACAATATTGGGACCCAAAGCTGGGGAATGCCTATCAAATAAACCTTCTTTTATTTATTAATTTTTTTATTTGTTTTTTAATTTTAATTTTAATTTTTGGAGACGAGGTCTCACCATGTTGCCCAGGCTGGTCTCAAACTCTTGAGCTCAGGCCGTCCTCCCGCCTCAGCCTCCCAAAGTGCTGGGACAAACCTTGAGAGTGAGTGTAGCACTGTGGTTCAGAGCAAGGATACTGGTGCAGGACCCCCAACTCTGCTACTTACTACTTAACCTTAATTGCTCTGTGCTTTGCTTTCCTTATCTATGAAATGGGTATGCTACTAGTATACCTATCTCTCAGGCTTGTTTAAGTATTAACAGACACAATACATAGCAAGTTCTTAGAAGAGGACTTGGACACAGTAAGAGTTACACAGGTATTAGCTATTATTATGACTATACCTGGAAACTGCAGCATCTAACGGAACGATCTGAAAAATCTCTGCTCCAAAGTATTGAAACATTTATTATGTAGCTCTATATTGCAAGCCTGGGGCAGGTGTTAGGGGAATGTTTGTCACTATATTTATGTCAGATAACTTATGCTTGATTCCTGATTGTGAAGAAGCAACAGAGAAATAAGTATTAATCAAGGTACACTATTAACGGAAGGCATTAAGCTGAGTGATGCAACCTATAAATTCCTCATTCTGCATTTCTTTATTTTTTCTCCTCCTTACTTTCTCACCTCATTTCCCCTCTTCCATTCCTTTTGCATTTCTTTGATTAAAATCTCTTAAATCTACACTAATTTGTTTTTCTATGCTGAAACTGAGAAATGAGGAACTCCCAAAAAGGTAATATTAAAAGCAGAGTTAGTCTGATGTTGTAACCAGGACATTAAACTTTTAATTTGTTGTTCTATCTTGAAATTATTTTCCTTATTCTTAACTATAAAAAAAGAATGATCTACTTTAAATATGGCTGCATTTTACTGCAGAGGAAATTGCTTTGCCTTTGAAGTTTGCAAATCTGAATCCATTTATATTAAAACATGTCAAGCCATCTTAGTTTCTTACAGGCTGCCATCCAAGAAGAACGCATACTCCATTTGTTCTCTTTTATGACAATCCCCTTCACCACATACTATCATCCTGGCTTGCTCCTATTTTGGAGTTTTAAAAGCAACATAACGATTGAAGGTGCAAGAGAAGAGTGAGCACACGCTGTTGGAAAAAAAATGGCGCCAATAGACTTGCTCAATGCAGGGTAGCCACAAACCTTCAATTTGCAAAACACACACACACAAAATGCAGTATCTGTGAAGCACAATAAAAGACGGTATGCCTGTGTGTAAAATTATAGATGAAAACCAACTTTGGGGATTAAAAGACATTATAAAGACATGGCATCACAATTTAAAATGTTATTTCTTAGTTTTAAAATGGTGCTGGGGTTTGAACAGTGACCTGTCATTGTATTGCCAACTCTTTTTCCACATATGGAACACAGAAGCGGTTATATTGAAGCTAGAAAACAAAATAACGGGAAGGCAGTGATAAGTTATAATCACCATGGTAACCCAGCAGAGTGCATACATAAAAAATCTAGTAGTACCATCACAGAACCCTGTGTGCATAAAGATAGGGTTTAGCAATCTAGCTGTAAGAAAAAAATAACAGAAAAACCCCAGCTCATTCACAGCATCAGTATTTTTGAGAGCTCTCTGGAGTACTAGGCAAGTTTTATGTGAGATGAACAGTTAGAAAAAAAGAAAAAGAAAAACGTTGTCTGCCTTTAGGGGCTTTCCCTGTAGTTCACTTAATGGTGAATTTATTACACTTTTTGCCTTTCAATTAATTATCCCAACTGTTCTGTAAGCCCAAAACTATTCTGGGAACTAGTAGAAAAGATACAAGACACGGACACCACACTTTAATAGAAAATTAAAATATAGTACAAGGACAGCGCATCATTAAGTCCTAAAGGTGTTCTGTTCCTTCTATTCTTGTTTTCAATGTTTTCAAGTTCAACTTCCTCAAGGGAGAAGATAGTGTCTAGTTTATTGTTTTATTTCCAATATTCAATTCTGTGCTTGGTATGTGGTAAAGATTCAGGAAGTGTATGTTGAAGGAATGAACACATTTCTTGAAAAAGCTAAAGCTACCTCTGAGCAAACAGCTCATTTCCTGGGCACTATGCCAGCCTTATGCAGATTTGGAATTTTTCTCTGACTTTTTAAGTAGCTATTCTTAATAATAAATTGGGAATAACTATACCAAATATTAGCAAATCTTTGACTGTGATAATCATTGTTTATTATCTGAAATATCTCATTTCCTTAAGATGAGTAAGTAATTAAAGTCTGGAAATCACAGAAATCAGAAGAAATAGGATTACAGCTCTAATTTAATCTCATAGCTGTCCTTGTGTGATAGCTTAATAATATGTTAATCGTTTTTGCTTTGGTCACATACTGCCAGGTTCAAGAAAACATACACCACGTCTCTGCACATGAGTAAATCTATAAAAAGGTTTTTGCTTCTAGAGGCTGTACTGAAATATATTGATTTTTAAATGTATAAGGTTGCTTTTAATGCAGTTAGCACATCATTTATTCTATGAATGTAATGGAGCACTGTTAATGAAGCATGCAAGACCTAAAGTAAGTCTCTAGCCATGTGAATATTTAGAAAGGCGCTTTTCCCCCCTCTTTGCAAGTATGGAGCATATCCCAGAAAGCAAGCAAACTTATAGGAATTGCAAACCCGCATGCCTGCCTGATATGTTGGAGCACCCCCAGGGCAGGGCATGGGGACTCAGCGAAAACTGAAAGAGTTGGAGCTGGGCTGGGCCTGGTGGCTCACGTCTGTAATCCCTGCACTTTGGGAGGCCAAGGCGGGAGGATCGCCTGAAGTCAGGAGTTCGAGCCTGGCCAACATAGTGAAATCCTGTCTCTACTAAAAATACAAAAAATTAGCTAGGCGTGGTGGCGGGTGCCTGTAACCCCAGCTACTGGGAAGGCTAAGGCAGGAGAATCGCTGGAACCTGGGAGGCGGAGGTTGCAGTGAGCCGAGATAGCGCCATGGCACTCCTGCCCTCCAGCCTGGGCAACAAGAGCGAAACTGTCTCAAAAAAAAAAAAAAAAAAAGAATTGGAGCTGACCATTGGCCCCCAGGGACTAAAACACCCAGGATTTCCCAAAATAAGTTTCACTTCTCAACACATTTTGCATTGTCTGATTGGCAAACAAACTCACTCTGAAGAGTAAAAGACAAAGATGCAGCCAGGGGACATTGATACCAAATCACATAGTAAAGGGTGGACGTGAATCTTTTGGTCAAAGATCTTACTTTACATTCCCACAGGGTCAATTCCTTCCCTGCTGCTTTCTCTAAAATGTGTGCGTATTCTTCTCTCACTCGCAGCAATGCCTGATTCAACACACTGAAATCAAACACATTCATATATAATATCCACACCAACTGGAATAAAGATTACAAGTAGCCTCATATTACTTCAAGTCAGTTTTTGCTGCCAAATGAGTTCAGGTGAGGTGAGATTTTGCTGTCCAATGAATCTCAAAAAAAAAATTGGTGTTCATATCATTTTGGATTCTGGATTTGCAAGCGAGGGATTATGAAGCACTCAGCCACTCCCCACCACGTCTTATTATCCAGCCCTACCTCTGCCTTATGCCTGCTATGACTGAGAAGTTTACCAAAATGATGAAGGAGTCACATTCTCGTTTCATGGCTGCTATATCCAGGAAGTGCTCACATGGGATTCGATTCTCCAGGGTCAATAGCTTGGTGAAGGGCACCATTTCCCCCTCATACAAAAAAGCAGGGTGATTTTCTTGAGCATTCGAGTGTAGTCTACAACTGAGGGTCTGTGATGAGATGGTGGTTACTCAGCCAAGGAACAGGAAAGAGCTTCTAGACAGAGGCCCCAGCATGTGCCAGGGCTGAGGGGCCCAAATACAGGGTAGTTGTGAGGAATTGCAAGTGATGACGCTAAGGACAGACACAGGGACGAGATTGGAGCAAAGAATGGAAGTAGTGACGAGACTTGAGTTAGGGGTGGACGTAGACAATTCAGAGATGGCCTTGTATGTCATATGTCTCTTTATTCTGAAGGGCGTTGAGGAGGCGTGGACAGGATTTAAGCAGGTAAGGGACATGCTGAGATTTGTGCTCTTTTGAATATCCTATTGAATTTGGTATATCATACAGGATTTGTCATCAGATGCATCACAAGGAAGGACTCTATTATTGTTGCCTTTATTTGAATTATAACAAGGAAAGGCCATGAGGGTGTAGATATAGAAAACACTGGTGGTTACTTCCCAGTGTTAATCTTTTCTTTCTTCTTTAGTAATAGAATCTATGGACAGAGGGAATAATGACTACATTTCTTAATAATGCATGGGTCTAGGTATTGTGGTGAAGAAAGATATAAAAATCAGATTTTAAATTAAGATTTTTATTTGTTCCTGAATATATCAAAATTCCAGGCTTTCTTTCATGAGGAGTTTAATTTAAGAACCATTCTAGGAATTGCTTGTGATGACCGAGGGACAGAGGTCCCTGTGTTTAATAGCAGAAAGCAAAAAAGGCTTGGTTCTACTCACCAGGGAAGGAAAAGGTGGAGATTGTAGTTATAAGTCAGGAAGCTTCAGAAAGATTACTGGGAAAAGGTGTTGATAACTCACATACACTGGCCAGGGTTTGTCCAGTAAAGTATTAGGGGTTTATCACATTGTTGAAGCTTTTCTAACTACTGACATATATCACTGTTCTATTATGGAGGGTCATGGGGCTAAGCTCTGGCCAACGTGTTGTAAGTAGCCATGGTGTTTTCAGGGAAGGTACTTGTATTTCTCTCTTTCCTCCTTGCTGGGAGGCAGATGGTGAACAGCAAGAAAGAGGAAGCCTGGGCTCTCAGCCCTGTGGAGATGCAACACCATTCCCGGAATATCTATTTCTGGACTTCTGTTATATAAGAGAATAGTACATTTTATCTTGGTTAAGCCAGTTATTTTGTACTATCCCATACAGTCAATCTATTTCTAATCAGTGTGAGGTTACTGATAATTTGAGGTTTTAGTGGTAAAGATATCATCTCTTTTGTTACAAACACTCTTAGTTTGGAAATTTTCTCTTTTTTTTTTTAATAGCACTTTGAGTTGCTATTGTATTGTTTGGAAATTTTCAAAAAAGACTTAAAAAATATTTTCAATTACTATATAATAATTGTACATATTTATGGGGCACAGTGTGATGTTTCAATACATGTATACAATGTGTAATGATAAAATCAGGGCAATTAGCATATCTACCACCTCAAACATTTGTCTTTTCTTTGTGTTGAGAACATTTAAAATCTTCTCTTCTAGATATTTAAAAATATACCATAAATTATTCTTAACTATAGTCACCCTACAGTGCTATAGAACACTTCTAGAAATTATTCCTCCTATCTAGCTGTAATTCTGTATACATTAACCAACTTCTTCCTATCCCCACCTCCCTTCCACCTTTTGCAGCCTCTAGTAACCACTATTCTATTCTCTACTTCTATGAGATCAACTTAGATCAATTTTTTTAGCTTTCACATGTGAGAGAGAATACACAGTATTTATCTTTTTTTGCCTGGCTTATTTCACTTAACATAATGTTCATCAGGCTCATTCATGTGGCCATGAACAATGGGATTTCATATTTTATGGCTGAATTATACTCCATTTTTTATGGCTGAGTAGTATTCCATTGTACACATACATCACATTTTCTTTATTCATTTATCTCTTGATGGACAGTTAGATTGATTTCATATCTTGACTATTGTGAAGAGTGCTGCAATAAACATGGGAAAGCAGATGTCACTCTGACATACTGGTTTCCTTTCTTTTGAATATATACCCAGTAGTAGGATTGCTGGATCACATGGTAGTTCTATTTTCAGGTTTTGTGGAAACACCATACCATTTTTCATAATCATACAAATTTACATTCAGACCAAAAGTGTATAAAAGAGTTCCCTTTTCTCCACATCCTTGTCAGCAATTTCTTTTTTGTCTTTTAGATGATAGCCATTCTAACTGGAGTGAGATGATATCTCAGTGTGGTTTTGATTTGCATTTCTCAGATGTTTAGTAATGTTGAGCATTTTAAAATATACCTGTTGTTGATTTGTATATGTTCTTTTGAGAAATGTCTATTCAGATCATTTTCCTCTTTCTAAATTAGACAATTTAGGGTGGGTTTTTTTTTCTTATGAATTGTTTGAGTTCTTTGTATATTCTGCATATTAATTCTTTGTCAGATGAATAGTTCAGAAGTATTTTCTCTCATTACTCAGGTTGTTTCTTCACTCTGTTGATTGTTTGCTTTGCTGTACAGGAGCTGTTTAGTTTGATATAATCCTATTTGTCTGTTTTTACTTTTGTTTCTTTTGTTTTCGGGGCTTTGTCAATAAAATCTTTGCCTAGACCAATTCCGGAAGCATTTTCCCTATGTTTTCTTCTAGTACTTCTTATGTTTAGGTCTTTAATCCATTTCACATTTTTTTTAAAAATATGGTGCTAGATTGGGCTCTCATTTAATCTTCTGAATATGGATATCTAGTTTTCCCAGCAGCATTATTGAAAGACTATATTGTGATGCCTGCCACTTTATTCTTTTTGCCCAAAATTGCTTTAGGCTATTTGGGGTCTTTTGTGGTTTTATACAAATTTTAGCATTGTTTTTTTCCATTTCTGTGAAGAATGTTATTGAATTTTGATAGAAATAACATTGAATCTGTAGATTGCTTTAGATAGTATGGTCATTTTAATAATATTAATTCCTCCAATCCATGAACATGGGGTGTCTTTCCATTTGTGTGTGTGTCCTCTTCACATTCTTTTATCAGTATTATATATATATTATACAGATTTTTTTATCTCCCTTGTTAAATTTATCCTTAGGTTTTTTTTCTGTAGCTGTTGTAAATGGGATTCCTTTTAAATTTCTTTTACAGCTCATTCATTATTGGTATATAGAAACACTACTATTTTTGTGTGTTAATTAGGTATCCTGCAACTTTACCAAATTTATTTATCAAATCTAAGAGTTTTTAAATGGAGTCTTTAGGTTTTTCTATATATAAGATCATATCATCTACAAACAGATAAAATTTGACTTTCTCCTAACCAATTTGGATGCCCTCTCTTTGTTACTCCTGCCTAATTGCTCTGGTTAGGACTTCCAGTACTATATTGAAAAGGAGTGCTGAAAGTGAACATCCTTGTCTTCTTCTAGCTCTGAGAGCAAAAGCTTTCAACTTTTCCCCATTCATTATAATGCTGGCTGTGGTTTTGTCATGTGTGCCCTTTATTGTATTGAGGCAGATTCCTTCTACACCTAATTTGTTAAGATATTTTATCATAAAGAAATAGTTACATTTTCTGCATCTATTAAATGATCGTACGGTTTGTGTACTTCATCCTATTGATCTGATATATTATGTTTATTGTTTGCACAAGTTGAACAATCCTTTCTTTCCTGGAATAATACTATTTGATCATAGTATAAAAATATTTTGATGTGTTTTAAGATTTGGTTTGCTAGTATTTTGTTGAGGATTTTTGCATTTCTATTCACTAGGAATATTGTACTTCAGTTTTCCTTTTGTTGCTGTGTTCTTGTCTGATTTCAGTGTCAGGGTTATGCTGGCTTTGTAGAATGAGTTTGAAGAATTTTCTCTCATTCAAATTTTTGGAATAATTTGAGAAGAATTAATGTTAGTTTTTCTTTAAATGTTTGATAGAATTCAGCAGTGAAGCCATCTGGTTCTGGGCTTTACTTTATTGGGAGACTTTCTATTACTGATTCAATCTTGTTACTCATTATTGGTCTACTTAGGTTTTCTATTTATTTTTTGTTTAATGTTGATAGGTTCTATGTGTCCAGGAATGCATCCATTTCCTCTAAGTTTTCAAAATTGTTGATATATAGTTGTTCCTAACAGTAACTAATGATTTTTTAAAATATTTCTGCGGTACTAGTTGTAATGTCTCCTTTTCATTTCTGATTTTATTTGAGCCTCCTATTTTTTTTGTTCAGCTAATAGTTTTGGATATTGTTTATCTTTTCAAAAAACCAACTTTTTCTTTTGTTGATCTTTTGTATTTTTAGTTGATATTTTGTTTACTTTTGCTCTGATCTTTATTATCTCTTTCCTTCTAATTTTGGGTTTGATTTTTTCTTGGTTTTTTAGTTTTTTGAGGTGCATCATTACATCATTAATTTAAAATCTTTCTATCTACTTCTTTGATGCAGATGTTTATTACTATAAACTATTCTCTTAAGTACTGCTTTTGTTGTACACCATAGGTTTTGGTGTGTTTGTTTCTGTTTTCACTTGTTTCAAAAATTTGTAATGTCTTTATTACTTTTTAAATTGACCTATTGGTCATTCAGAAGCATGTTGTTTAATTTCAATGTATTTGTATGGTTTTGAAAGGTCCTCATGTTACTGTTTTTGTTTGTTTGTTTGTAGTTTTATTCCTCTGTGGTCAGAAAAGATACTTTATAAAACTGATACTTGTTTTGTAGCCTAACATGTAGTCTATGCTGGAAAATGTTCCATGGGCTGATGAGAAGAATATGTATTCTGTAGCTGTTGCATGAAATGTTCTGCAAATGTCTGCTAGGTCCATTTGGTCTAGAGTGTAATTTAAATCCAATGTTCTTGTGTTGATTTTTCTGTCTAGATGAACTATCCAGTGCTAAACGTGGGGTGTTGAAGTTCCCAAATATTATTGTATTGAGACTGATCTTTCCCTTTAGATCTAAAAATATTTACTTTATATATTTGGGTGCTACACTGTTGAATTCATATATACACATAGATACAATTATTATGTCCTTTTGCTAAATTTATACCTTTATCTTTATGTACTGATCTTCTTTGTGTCTTTGTATAGTTTTTGATTTACAATCTATTTTATCTGATATAAGTGTAGTTACTCCTACTTGTTTTGGTTTCTGTTTGTGTGGAATATATTTTTCCAATTCTTCATTTTCAGTCTATATGTCTTAACAGGCAAAGTCCAGTTTCTCATAGGCAGCATATAGTTGGGTCTTGTTTTTGTTTATTCAGCTAGTCTATATTTTTTAATTGGATAACTTAATCTGTTTACATTCAAGGTCATTTCTGTTGGCAAGAAACTACTCCTGCCATTTTATTAATTGTTTTATTGTTATTTTGCACATTTTTATTTCTTTCTTCCTTATCTATGGTTTATCTTTATGCTTTGGTAGTTATCTATAGTGATAAGAGTTGATTCTTTTCTCTGTCTCATTTGGGTGTCTTTACCAGTGAGTTTTACAGCTTCACATGTTTTTATGATGGTAGTCATTGTTCCTTTTGCTTCTATATGTATAAATATTTTTAGCATTTCTTATAATACTGGTCTAGCAGTGATACATTCCCTTAATTTTTGCTTTATTTCTGCAGGATAATTTTGAGCAATATTGTGTTATTGGCTGGCAGTTTTTTTCTTTCAGCCTTATCAATATATCATCTCATTCTCTCCTGGACTGTAAAATTTCTGCTGAGAAATCTGCTATTAGTCTAATGTAAATTACCTTATATGTCACTTGAGTCTCTTTTTCTGCTTCTAGAATTCTCTTTGTCTTGAAGTTTGATTATAATGTGCCTTGGAGAGAAGATTTTTGGTTGAATCTATCTGGAGACCTTTGAGCTTCCTGGCTCTAGATGTCCATATCTCTCTGAAGACTTGGAAAATTTTCAGCTATTATTTCATTAAATAGGCTTTCTATGATTTTCCCATCTTTCCTCCTTCTGGAAAACCCACAATACAAAGATTTGTTTACTTAATGGTGTTCTGTTGGCTTTCTTAATTTTTTTATTCTTTTCTTTTTATCTATTATTTCAAAAGCCCTATCTCCATTTCAGAAATTCTTTCTTCTGTTTGATCTAGTTGGTTGTTGAAGCTCTTGACTTTATTTTTTATTTCATTCATTAAGTTTTTCAGCTCCAGATTTCTATTTGGTCCTTTTCAATGATACCTATCTGTTTGTTGAATTTCTCATTCAGATCATGAATTGTTTTTGCTGATTTTGTATAATTATTTATTTTTATTCTCTTCTATGTCATTGAGTTTCCTTAAGGTCATTATTTTGAATTACTGCAAAGGAATTTCATAGATTTTTTCCTTGGAGTCTGTTAATGAGGAATTTTTGGAGGTGTCTTTTTTACTTGCTTTTTCATGCTTCTTGTGTACATACATTGATATCTGCCCATCTGGTGAAATAGTCACCTCTTTCAATTTTATGAAGTAGCTTTAGTAGGGAAAAACTTGTTCTTATAGGTGTTTCCTATCGTGTCAGTTGGGTAAGGTGCTTTGGTTTTGATTTTGGGTAGGTGCAGTAGTTTAGTCTCCTTCTCATTTCTTTAGCTGCAATCAAAGTCAGCAGTATCTATGAACTCCTCAGTGGTCTAGAATTTGGATATTTGTAGAAACAGTGGTGTGGATACACTGGGGGTTAGGGCCCAAAGGCAGGTCAGTTTTCAAGCCTTGGTAGAGGGATGTGCATCAGGTGCAATGGCTCTGCTTATTGTGAGGGTTGGGTTGCCAGTGGCAGCTGGCACCAAGTATGCCACCTCCTGGCCCCTGGGAGGCACATGTGGTATGTAGCAGCCCCACTGGCTAAAGAAACAGTCACTGACAGCAGTGTGTGCTGATCTGGCAGTTCTCAGGCCCTGGAGAGCACATACATAGGCTTCACTGGTCTTGGAGGTAGCCTTCCTGCTGTACTGGACTGCCTATTCCCTGGGGTATACAGTGCTGCATGGACTTGCATGCTGGGGTCATGGCTGTACCTCTGAGTCTACCTGGGGTTTTAGCATTGCAGCCTTTTGTGAGGGCACGGTAGTACAATGGCAGAGGTTTGTAGAGGCTGTTGGGCTCCAGGGTAAGACACACTCCAGCAGTAGCTCTGTTCTTAAAATGGTGCCATGCCATAGCAGTTTGAGTCCTGGTGGGGTGTGCGTGGGGGGGAACCAAACATGAGTTCTTTCTCTGGAGTAATACACCTGCATGGATCCAGACAGCTCTCTATACTGATCTCAGGGCCTGTACAGACTGTAAGGCCCTTCTGTAGCTAGAATTGTAGCCATCCACATTGGAGATGGGGACGGATGGAGCTTTCACACTTACACTTTCCCTCCAGTGGGGAGTCTCTCTTAGTTCCAAGCCAATCTTAAATAAGTGCTTTACTTCCCTCTCTGTGATGCTATCCCAAATTTCTGTGTTTCAGAGGATTTTTGTCTCTCCCTTGCTGAACTTCAGTGGTCTCCCTTAGACATTCTATTTAAAGTGCAGTTATTTAAAAAAAAACTGTAGAGATGGGGTCTCGCCATAATGCCCAGGCTGGTCTTGAACTCCTGGAATCAAGTAATTATCCTGCCTCAGCCTCCCAGAGTGCTGGATTACAAGCGTGAGCCACTGCGCCTGGCCAGAAATACAATTATTTCTTTGTTGTGCTGGTTCTTCTTTGCATCTCTAGTTTGCCATCATCTCTCAGATTAAGGTAGGCTTTTTAGTTGCACAAATGTAAGCCAAATATACACTCCCCATTGGAAGAGAAACCCATGTTGCCACCTCTTTGTGTTGCAGTAAGATTAAATGAGATAACAGTACCTTGAATACAATATAAACTCAATAATTTTTCTTCCTTTTTATACTTTTGATATTTAAAAGGAAATTTAGGTGATTCAGTAAGATAAATGATCATTTCTGATTTGCCATTTGTGGAAATCCAAATTTTCGTTGAGTCTGGTTAAAGATAATTACATCTGTACCTGAATGAATTTTTAAATGGTGTTATTCATCTTGATGAGTCTTATATTTGTGTGACATAAAAAGAAAAAAAATCTGCTGAAGAAAAAAGGCATCCATTGAACAAACTTGAACAATTTTTAAAAATACTCTTTGTTCCTTGGTATTAGGGAAATTCAATAAATAATTTTAAGCAAGTTAAGAACATGAAGAAAATAAACCTTCACATATGTGATCAAATGATTTTCAACAAGGGTGCCAGAATACTCATTGGAGATAAGGACAGTTTTTTTCAACAAGTGGTGCTGGGAAAACTGGATATCCACATGCATAAGAATGAAATTGGACCCTTACCCTAAAACATAAAGAAAAAAACTCAAAATGGATTTAAAAGCTCAAGTAGGACAAACCCCTATAAAATTTAGGAAAAAAACATAGGGGAAATCTTCATAATATTGTATTTGGTAATGATTTATTGGAAATGATACCAAAAGCTGTACAGACAGCAAAGGCAAAAATGAACACACGGTACTGGATGAAATTTAAAAACTTCTGTGCGTCAAATAACACTATCAACAGAGTGAATAGGCAATCTATGAATTGTAAGAAAATATTTACAAATAATATATCTGATAAGTAGTTAACACCCAAAAACATATAAAGAACTCTCACAACTTGAGACCGAAAATTAAGCTGGGAATGGTGGCTCATGCCCATTATCCAGCACTTTGGGAGGCCTGGGTGAGAGAACTGCTTGTGTTCAGGGATTTGAGAAAAGCCTGACCCATCCAGTGAGACCCCATCTCTAGAAAAAAAAAAATTTTTAAATAGCCAGGTGTATTAGTCCATTTTCACACTGCTATGAAGACATACCTGAGACTGGATAATTTATAAAGAAAAGAGGTTTAATTGACTCACAGTTTTGCATGGCTAAGGAGGCCTCAGGAAACTTACAATTATGGTAGAAGGCAAAACAGACACATATTACACGGTGGCAGGTGAGAGAAGTGAGAGCCAAGCAAAGGGGTAAGCCCCTTGTAAAACCATCAGATCTCGTGAGAACTCACTCACTATCACTAGAACAGTATGGAGGAAACTGCCCCCATGATTCAACTATCTCCAGCTGGTCCTGCCCTTGATACATGGAGATTATTAAAATTCAAGGTGAGATTTGGGTGGGGCCACAGAGCCAAACCATACCACTAGTTGTGGTGGCATGCACCTGTTGTCTCAGCTACTCAGGAGGCTGAAGTGGGAGGATCACTTGAACCTGGGAGGTTGAGGCTGCAGTGAGCCGTGATCATGCCACTGCACTGCACCCTGAGTGGCAGAGTGAGAACCTGTTTGTTTGTATGTTTATTTGTTTGTTTTTAATAAAGAACAAAGAAAATCCAAATAGCACCATTAAAAAGAGCAAAGGATTTAAATAGACATTTCTCCAAAGATGTTATACAAATTTCCCACAAGCATATAAAAAATTTTCAGCATCACTAATCATTAAAGAAATGTGAATTAAAACCACAATGAGTTATCACTTCATATCCATTATGATGGTTGCTATCAAAAGCCAAACAAAATAAAAAAACCCACAACTGTTGGCAAGTATATGGAGAAACTGGAACCCTTGCCCCACTGCTAGTGGAATATAAAATGTTGCAACCACTATGGAAAACATATACCTTCAAGAAATTAAAGGTAGAATTACCACGTAATCCAGCAATCCTACTTCTGGGTATATATCCAAAAGAATTAATAGCAAAATCTGGAAGAAATATTTGCACACTCATGTTCATAGCTGCATTCGTCAGAGTATCTGAATGGTGGAAGCAACCAGGCATTCATCTACAAATGAATAAATGACAAAATGTGATATATAAATATAACGGAATACTGATCGGCCAGAAAAAAGAAGGAAATTCTGACACATGCTACAATATGGATGAACTTTGAAGATATTATGCTAAGTGAGATAAGTCAATCACAAAAGGACAATACTATATTATTCCAATCATATGAGGTATCTAGAGTGGCCAAATTCATACAAAGAAAAGGTAGAATACTGTTTACCTGGGGCTAGAGAGTGGGGGAAAGAGGGAGCAATTGTTTAATGGGCAGAAAGTTTCAGTTTTGCAAGATGAAACATCTGGAGATCTATTGTACAGCAATGGAAATATACTTAACACTATTGAACTGTGTACTTAGAAATGGTTAAGATGGTAAATTTTATGTTATGTGTTTTTTTGCCACAGTTAAAAATAATAATAACTTTTAAATGGCCCCCAACTCTACTCTCTAAAAAAATGAATATTTTTACACATATTTTGCCATGATATAGAACCATTTGGAGCTAGGACATTTATCCTGAAATTGAATTCATAGGTAAAACAATTGGTCTTAAGTGGTTAGGAATTGGTCCAGTTTTCTGTATTGACATGCTTCCTGGTGCCTCTGTGAATGTGAATAGTTTCATTTATATTTCCCATCCCCTTTTCTCTGGTTTAACTGAGCTCACTGTCTTAGTACAAACAAGTTACTGACTACATCCACAGCAAAATAATTCTTAGCAATAAAAGAATTTCACAAAATTTAAAGATTTCATTTATTTGTGAAATTCTCCAAAGGGAGGGCAAGGTTTGAAGCAGGCTATCATTCTTTAATAAATTCAGTTCACCTGCATGCCACAGAATATAGGGTGTTCATTTTGACCTCTTGAGCGTGCAAATAAAGGGATTCACTACATAATTCTGACTTCTTAGAAATAATTGGTAGAAATGCATTGTCCAAATCTTACCACCCTCAAGATCAAATCACCCTTGTCTCTGATCTTTCTCCAGTAACTTCAGGTCCTAGTGTTCCCTTTTGTTTCTCTACCTAATAGAACTCATAAGTGAATGGTAAAATTGGTTGAATGCTATGGAGATCTTGAATAAAAGATCTTGATTGAAAGATCTTTGAGAGCAGTGACCATAGTTTATATCTCTTCTATGACTCTGGTGCTAGCACACTGTTTGTCATGTGATCATTCCGTTGTTCCTGCATTACCTATGACTAGTGCCCCCTTTAATCTTCAAATGTTACAGTTTACTCATGAGCTACATTACATGAGAGGGATATTAGTCCGACTCTGTAGAGTGGGAACTGGGATCTGGGGATTGTTCCTTTCCAAAGACATTAGTCAGCTCTCCTAGTTCTCTTATCCACCATGTGCCCATGCTTTCAGCTTTACCTAGTGCCTTCATTCATGATCTTTCCAGAGTTCTGTGTTTCCAACCAGCTTGCTTCTTGTTGGCTTCCACACACCAATTCTCCACAGGCTGAGGATTCATCTTTGCCTGACTGCCACTCAGTTACCACTTGTCCATCACTTTTCCATCTTCCCAAAGTTGGTAAGCGTGTTGACTTTTTTTTCCTTGTGTGTTTATGCCTTTGGTTTTTAAATTCATTCATTTATTTAAAACTATTAGGCCAGGTATGGTGGTTCACGTCTGTAATTCCAGCACTTCGTGGGGCTGAGGCTGGTGGATCACTTGAGGTCAGGAGCTTGAGAGCAGCCTGGCCAACATGGTGAAACCCTGTCTCTACTAAAAATACAAAAATTAGCTGGACATGGTGGCATGCACCTGTAGTCCCAGCTAATCCAGAGGCTGAGGGAGGAGAATTGCTTGAACCCGAGAGGCGGAGGTTGCAGTGAACCAAGATCACACCACTGTACTCCAGCTTGGGTGGCAGAGCGAGACTCCGTCTCAAAACGAACAAACAACCAAACAAAAAAAAAATTCATTTTCTGTCATATTAGTATGATTCAAGAGACAAATTTGTGTTTTTAATCTATCATGTTTAGCTGACCACCTCACTGTACCTTTACTGTCAAAGCAAAGTTTAATCCCGAGAATGTTCTATTCAGAGAAAAGTGGCATGGCTGTGAAGTTTGGAAATGAGGAGGGGCAAGAGATAAGATTTCAAGGGGATTCCTTTGCACTGACAAGGATTTCACACTAAATTCAGAAAGCAATGCAGAACTTCTGAAGAAATTTAATTAGAAATCTAAGACACTTTTATATGGTTTGGTTTCTCTCATCTTTAAACTCCCATTGGATTTTTGGTCTCCAGCCCAGCACAATCCAAAAGAACTATCTGAAATGATACAAATGTTCTCTATCTACACTATCCAATATGGTAGCAACTAGCCTCAACATATGATTATTAAGAACTTGAAATGTGACTAGCAAAACTGAGGAACTGAATTTCAAATTTTATGCAATTTAATAACAAATTTAAATACACACATGTAATTAGCATCTCTTGAATTAAACACCACAGCTCTTGCTTTTGAGATTTGATTTCATAATTTCCTAATTATTTCATTTGTTTCCATTGTGTAACCCCAAACAGAGTCTAAGACTCTAAAGATAGTGATCTGTTCTAATAATAACCTTGACTCACAGTTCAATAGCACATAGCAGGCTGGGCACAGTGGCTCACGCCTCTAATCCCAGCACTTTGGGAGGCCTAGGCGGGCAAATCACCTGAAGTCAGGAGTTCGAAACCAGCCTGGCCAACATGGTGAAACCCCGTCTCTACTAAGAATATATAAATTAGCTGGGCGTGGTGGTGTGTGCCTGCAATCCCAGCTACTCGGGAGGCTGAGGCATGAGAATCACTTGAACCCGGGAGGCGGAGGTCGCAGTGAGCCGAGATCACACCACTGTACTCCAGCCTGGGTGACAGAGGAAGACTCTGCCTCAATAAATAAATAAATAAATAAATAATGAAAAATAAAAAGAAATCAATAGCATGTAGCACAGAGCTATACATTGGACTTCTCCCTGATTATGATGCCCAGGGAAGAATTCTGAGCTGAGAGTCAGGAGTTCCAGTTTGGTCCTGCCACTAACAAGCTAGGTGACTTTGGGAAAATTTATTAATTTCTTGAGTCACAGTCACGTCAAAAAAATGATTAACAACTGGGTCCCAAATTATTTGTTACCAATAGTAGTTGCAGTGTTATTGCTTTTATCAATAAATGAGAGGAGCTGTGCAACCCTCTGAGTTTTGCATTTCCAGTGCAATTGAAGGGAAAGCTAGAGTGCTTGGAATTCCCTTGGGAGGACATGCTAGAAAAGGTTTGGGGCCGGGCATGGTGGCTCACACCTGTAATCTCAGCACTTTGGGAGGCCGAGGTAGGCAGATCATTTGAGGTCAGGAGTTTGAGACCAGCCTGGCCAACATGGTGAAACCTGGTCTCTAAGAAAAATACAAAAATTATCTGGGCATAGTGGAGCGCATCTGTGTTCCAGCTACTTGGGAGGCTGAGGCAGGAGAATCGCTTGAACCCAGGAGGTGGAGGTTGCAGTGAGCCAAGATTGCACCATTGCACTCCAGCAGAAAAAAAGAAAAAGAAAAAGTTTGGATCTAGTATTAGGAAGTTAAACAAGGAATCTGCACCGTGTATCGTCCCCTTCAGGGAGCCTCAGCACCTGTGTGCATCAGCCCTCTTCTGAAGAATTTCTGACAAATTGGCCAACATTCTGTATACCTCAAAGAGCCTCAGTACTTTGAAAATGTGAATTTGCCTGACCTGGCATCCTTCAATGGGCAAAGGAGGAGCATCTATGCAGTGTGTTAACTTCCTGAACCCATCAGACTTTTTGGGGTGGTGGAGGAGTTTGAATTTGATTTGTAGAAAGATCATAATCACTAATAGTATGGACAGATGCTGAAAGATATCTAGAAAGACAGTGGAAGCCCGAGAGCAGTTGAAACTATGAGTAAGTAAACAACCAGCAGAGAAAGAGAAGGACAGTAAAGAAAAATGATTAGTCACAGTAGAGCAATTGAATCACTGTAATAATAAAGTAATGGGGTAGTGAGTAAAGACCACCGGTGATTAAAGAGACTTCAAGATGACCTGATCACTAATTACCTCCTGATGACCTAATTATATCCAGTGTCCCTGAAGCCCAGCTATGTCACTGTATTTCTCACTTCCCAAGTCCTTACCTTGAGGTGACCCATAGACTCCTACTTTGAGGTAATCTAAGTACCCTGTGTTCCCTTGCATGCTAAAGAAAACCTAAATACAGAAATAAATGCTGACTTAATCAGTCTCTCTGGGCTCACTCACCTCAGTGCAACATTTTGGGGTTGAGCCAGATGACCTTCAAAGCTCTTTTCAGCTATAATTTTTATTTCAACACAAGATTATACTGGGGCAAAGTAGATGGTTTGCACAGCGGTGCTCTAAGAATATGAAAGAAAAAGAGGTCACCACAGCCTGGAGTTGTCAAAAAGGCTTTGTGGAGGGGTCACGGGCGTAAGAATGCTGCCTGGACCTCTAACTGATTCTAAATTTGACAGAAGCTCAGGTGAAGCGCACCGCAGTGTGAGCTGGTTCAATCCTTTTGTGAGCCTGTCTCTGCATAATAACTCTATTTTAAAATGTGGGTTTTTTCTCAATTACAAATATCTATTTATTGGAGAGGAAAATAAAAGAACAAAAGTAAAATCATAATTACCTCCATTACCTAGTGATGGTGATTATTAATAAATTCAACTATTTATCTCCTTTTCATGCTGTTTTCTTCTCTCTATCTCTCTCTCTCTCTGTTTAAAGTGATAGACAGAGTCTTGCTCTGTCACCCAGGCTAGAGTGCAGTGGTGTGATCACCTATCACTCACTGCAGCCTCCTGGGTTCAAGATGTCCTGCCACCTCAGAGTGCTAGAGTGCAGTGGTGTGATCACCCATCACTCACTGCAGCCTCCTGGGTTCAAGTGGTCCTCCCACCTCAGCCTCCCAAGTAGCTGGGACTACAGGCATATGCCATCATGCTTGGCTAATTTTTTCATTTTTTGTAGAGACAGGATCTCACTATGTTGCCCAGGCTGGTATTGAACTCCTAGGCTCAAGCAATCCTCCCTCCTTGACCTCCCAAAAGTGCTGGGATTACAGGTGTGAGCCACTGTTCCCAGCCTTCATGACCTTTTCACCCAACATGCATTGTAAATATTTTTTGGTCATTAAGCTTTTTATGAAAATTAGACTTTAATAGCACACAGAATTATGTCACATGGCTATACCAAAATTTAACTAAAGTTTCTCTCATTTTTCAATATTTTAAAAAATGCCTTGAAGAATATACATGAATCATGTACATTTTTGATACTTTTCTTGGATAAGCCACTGAACACAGATGTCTTCATCTGTTCAGGCTGCTATCACAGCATACCACAGATTGGATGGCTTATAAAAAACAGAAATGTCTTTCTCATAGTTCTGGAGGCTAGAAAGTCCAGGTCAAGGTGTTGATAGATTCGGTGCCTGGTGAGGGCCTGCTCCCTGGTTCATAGATGGCATCTTCTCGCTGTGTCCTCACATGGTGGAAGGGGCGAGGGAGCCCTCCAGGGCCTCTTCTGTAGTGGCACTAATCCGATTCATGGGGCCTCCACTCTCATGATCTAATCACCTCCCAAACCCTCCCCCAAATCCTACTACCATTACCTTGGGAGCTAGGATTTCAACACAAAATTTTTGGGGTGAGGACACAAACATTCAGCCCATAATGGCAGAATTTTGAACCTTCATAAAATGTTTCTGAGACTCCCTGCTAAAGTGTCCACCAGAAAAGTGGTGCCAACTTATGCTCCTACCGGAAAAGACTATGAAAGTTTTACACTGGGGTCGGTATTGAGTATTACCTTTTTCTCCAAAACTTTTGTCAGATTGCCATGTGATTATAAAATCTTATTCTATTGTCCACTTCTTTGATAATTAATGCAATAATCTGCCTTCATGTTTGATGGACATTTAAGTTTCTCCTTTTGTGAATCATCTCTTCAAACCATTTACCTGTTTTTCTATTGTTGTGCTTATCTCTTTCTTGCTGATTTGTAAGAACTCCCTGTATATAAAGGATATTCTTATTCTCATTTGTCTGTGTAAGAGTAAAAACATTGACATTTCCCTGCGGCTAAAAGGGAAAATGACTTCTCCCCCTCTTTTTTTTTTTTTTTTTTTTTTTTTTTTAGAACATTTTCTTAGAAAAAAAAAAAACTAGTATTTATAAATCCTTCCCCTGTCCCCTTGATATACAGGTAAATCTTTTTAAAGGCTAAACAAATTTCTTGTGAGCTTTATAACCCATCAATGTTTTTCTTAAGGGCCTGAGAGGCATTTCTTGGAAATATAAACATTAAGGAAGATAGTGCCCCTATTTTCTGGTTCCCGTGGGAGCTTGCTGTAAGCTTTGACTGATACTTGTCCTAGAGATAAGAGAAATTTTATTTTCTTTCAAATAAAGGCAATTAACCAGCACAGATGTCTACCCCAATTACCAGGTGAATATTAAGCAAATGGCTCTTGTCAAGTTCTCTTACATAAGGGCAGTTTATCATTATTCCTGGGAACATGCATGTGGTAGATTGCATCTACTTGGCTATATTAAAAAGATAGATTACTTTCTGGTTTGTAATCTCATTAGCATATCACCTGTGATGTGCATCACAGTCTGTGTTAATGCTTACTTAATAATAAGTTTGTTAGGCTGGGCGTGGTGGCTCATGCCTGTAATTCCAGCACTTTGGGAGGCCAAGACAGGAGAATCACTTAAGCCCAGGAATTCACAATGAGCCTGAGCATAGTAGGAGATCCCGTCTCCACAAAAATTTTTTAAAAATTTAACCAGATGGGGTGGTGTGTACCTGTAGTCCCAGCTACTGAGAAGGCTGAGGCAGGAAGACTGCTTGAGCCTAGGTGGTCAAGGCTGCAGTGAGCCGTGACCATGCCACGGCACTCCAGCCTGGGTTACAGAGCAAGACTCTGTCTCCAAAAAAAAGACCCCAAAAAGCCCAGAAAACATGTAAAGCACTTAGAACAATGCCTGACACCAGTAGGCACTCAAAAATATTAATTAATACTATCATAAAATCTCATTATTGCTAATATATTTAATATGGGAATATTTCTTTTTCTTTTTTTTCTTTTCTTTTTCTTTTCTTTTCTTTTTTTTTTTTTTTTGAGATGGAGTCTCACACTGTTGCCTGGGCTGGAGTCCGGTGGCACGATCTTGGCTCACTGCAACGTCCGCCTCCTGGGTTCAAGCAATTCTCCTGCCTCAGCCTCCCGAGTAGTTGCGATTATAGGCATCTGCCACTACATTAATTTTTTTGTATTTTTAGTAGAGATGGGGTTTTACCGTGTTGGCCAGGCTGGTCTCGAACTCGTGACCTCGTGGTTCGCCCACCTCGGCTTCCCAAAGTGCTGGGTTTATAGGCGTGAGCCATCGCGCCCAGCCGGGAATATTTCTTTTCTTCTGGAATAGCTGTTCTTAAACCAATGTCAGCATTATAATTGTTAGCATGTTAGAACAAAGAGATGGAGTTTGTTGTGTGAGCCTGTGAGCCTCAGTTTTTTCATCTGTTAATTCCTCACGGAATTATTGTGTGAATGTGAACATTGAGGGACATGGTATATTAGTTTGCTAGGGTTGCTGTAATGATGTACCACAAGCTAGATTATTGATGACTGTTGTGAGACTTCAGTTCTTGTCCTCTTAGTTTAAAGGAATTGAAACAGAGACACACAGCAAAAGAAGTGCAGCATACAGTAATTAATTGAAAAGGAAAAAGAATATTCTGAAAGTTAAGTGCAGAATAGACAGCACACCCTGAGAGAGAAAGAATTCAGAGCAGTCTGCTCATAAAGATGAGAGAGCAGAGACTGGCTCTAGGGAGACTCCCCTTATGGATTATTCACAAGGAGATGGAAACAGGTGTAACTGGTAAGCATGTTCTGGGTGGTCCTTGGGGTGCACCTGCGCAGTAACTGTACATGCTTGTTCATAGATTGCATGTCACATTAACATCTTAAATATCCACGCAAGGGTGTGTTTTTTACTATTATAATGAGCAAAGTGTCAGTTTGAGGACAAGTAAAATCAAAATGCTCATGCTTTCTAGAAGGGAAAGTCCCTACTGAAGATAGTTTTGCTTGAATGAGCTTGATTACAATGCAAATGATAAGGCTTATTGTGTTGACTGTACGGTCACTACCATTGCTGCATGCCAAGGACGTAGTCACTTCTTTGACTACCTATCCTGCCTCAGGATGACTTACACAAGAAAAATTTATTTCTCCTAGTTCTGGAGGATGGAAGTCTCAGATCAAGGTGTCAGCAGGGTTAATTCCTTCTGAGGGCTGTGAAGGTAGGATCTGTCATTGATTTGTAGGTGGCAGTCTTCATGTACACATGGAGTTCTCCTGTATGGCTGTCTATGTCCAAATTTTCCCCTTTCATAAGGACACCAGTTATACTGGATTAGGTCCTACCCTAATGACCTTATCTTAACTTGATCATCTCTTTAAATTTGTATTTTCAAATAAGACCTCATTTTGAGGTACTGTGGGTTGGGACTTCCAACATGTGAATGTGGAGATTGGGTACACAGTTCAGTTCATAACACACAGCAAAATCCTCTGTTCGTGGATAATGACAACTGTACCCAGGTGGAGTCATTTCCAGAGGACAACTCTCGTGTCCTATAAATAGAAGACTTGGAAATATTCCCAATTCAATTTTAAAGAGGTTTCATTTTGACTAGAGGAAATGGCCTTTGCTAGAGAAACAGTCATTTAAATTAAGTTCCTTTCTTCACCTTGTCTTTCTGCATCTGTTAACTAAGAATAAAATATCACACATGTGAACTCTACATAAAATTTAGAGGAACTTAGACATCTTTTAGGTTTCACTCTTATTAAACCCTTATGTATCCAGGAAAATTGTCTAGTTCTTAGCATGATTAATGCTAAATCTGCATGTCTGCGTAGATTTTTCACATTTTGATAACAGACTGTGCTTGAATTCAATTTACCAACACCAGAGCAAGGATGAATGGGGAAACAATACAATCAATAGATTTTTTTCTACTAAAGACAGCTGTGAATCACATAAAGGTCTTCATGGTAATTATACCCTGTGGCAACGGAACTCTACAAAAATCCCATCAATTTTACAGCACTTTGGTGTCTGCCCCATGGCTTAATATATGAATTATTGGGGAGCTTGTGTGGAGAATCAGTCATGAGCATGGATAGAAAAAGAAAAAGCTGTAGCTAGGCAGGAGAAATCTGCAAAACATTTTGTTTACTTGTACAAGGGAGGATGTTGGTGGGACCACTCCTAATCCTCCTTTTCATCCTCCCATTCTACCTGCCCTTTCTCCCAAGATTAATTTGGGATTTGCACTCACAACATAAGAGAATGCAAATGAAAAGTTCACAGAGTCAGGGAAAAAAGTGAAAAATAGCCAAGAGACACAATGGAATGCAATGAAAAGTCTGAGTGTCAGAGGAGATGTGGGCTCATATTTCTCCACTTTGAAGGATCTGAGCTCAAGATCATACAGTTGTTTCATCTGAAGTCAGACAAACCTAGGTTGCAATTCTATTCCTTTCATTAATAGACTTTGAATAATCACTTCATTTCTCTGAGCCCAGGGGTGAGTAATGCCCACCCTGCAGAAATACTATGATGACTGACATGTTCACACAGATGTGAGAGCAACCAATAAACGTCCAATCTGAATGTCTGATTCATTATCAGGCAAGTAAGGGATACTAATAACAAAGGCAAAATAGTAGCCAGTGATGATGGCCAACAACTTCAACATAGGAGCTGGCTTAAGGCCTCATGATATGCTCAATAATTTGCAACTAAAAGTCTCAGCTGGCCACAGAGCAGGGCTTTGCTACATGGTTGGACTTCTACGTTTTCCCTGCCTCCCTACTTGGCCAATGCTTGGTAAGAAACAAATGAATCAATAAAACAGTGTCGTAAACTACAGCAAGAAAACTGTGCTGTGCTTCTTTTGGTTGGGTAGATACAGGGTTTGATTTCTTTCAAGGATGATGGAATAGAAGCAAATGTCATGAACCTGAGAGGAACTAGCAGAGTTAGAAAGTGAGTCTATCCACAGAAGCTAGAATAAGGACTTTCAACAGCAATTTGCAAAGACATTTTCCCCTGTTTAGATTTGTCAGGAAGTGGATTAATAGAAAAATTCTCAAGTAATGGATCAACAGTTAATTCATTATTTGAATGCTATCCACACAGGCAAAAAGCTATAATATAACTGTAATCACCACCACACTGTGATTTCTTTAAAGAAAGTTCTTGTTTTGCTGGTTCCACAGCCACCTGGGAAAAAGGACTGTGAGTGTAGGAGGTGACTATTTCACTATGCACTTAATTCTGTGTGGATACAGAAAGTGGGTAGGCTGGAAATGAAAATTCTGTCATTGTCATCTTCGTAAAGACTAAGCTAAGTGGAGGAGGTGGAAGTCATTTGGGTGGCTGCTGATACAGAAAATGCAGTCTCTAAAATAATATAACATTAAACACATTAAATAAACAATGCACTTTCTTGAATGCATTTTATTTGATCTTTGATTATTTGCATTCCAGTTTATTCTGCATGCTATAACCTTTATTTCTCAGTTTTTTTCTTGTAGGCAATTTATACTTGACTTTGCTAATTTTTGCATTGGCAGTTATTCATCCTGGAAACCAGCATCCTGGAGGTGCTATTAACATTTTTGTCTTAAATATATCCATTTCAAAAACATGGGATGAGTTTGTATCATGTTCAGAAGACTATGCCATAATGAAAGCAGTAGAGATGGCTGAGACACAGTTCATATCCACTAGGATATCAAGCATCATTCCAGGGGAAGATGAGATTACTCACAACAGTGCAGGGAGAAGGTGTCTGGAATGGTTCTTGAAGAGATTGGTGCTTGCATTGAAATTTGAAGGATGGATAAAGCTGAAAGAGTCGTTCTAGACAGAAGAAGCAGATTGAACCAAAACTAAGAAGTGAGAAGGGCTGATGGATGAAACAATTCAAGCCATCTTGTTAATGAATCATCATCACCTTTTGAGATCTTCAGCGAAATTGCTGTAATAAGACAGATCAACAAGAAAAAAACAAACAAGTTATTAATATGTATATCTCATATATACATGGGAGAGAGAGAATCAGTGGTTCTCAAACAGGTGGCTTAGAACTCTGGCTTATATAACATCTTCACAAAGAACAATAAATTTTTGAAGAAATTAGAGGACAAAAGAAAGGGATCTTGAAACTTTAGAGGCAGCAAATTGTGGGAAGGCAAATATGGTGGATAAAGGCTGGTTAGTAAAGTTTGTTATGTAAATTCCTCTGGTACTGATTTTCAGGCTAAGAACCTAAGTCATCTCCATTGAGAAACCTTTGTCCTTCTTGGTAGAGGGGAAAGGAGGATGCCTTTACAAATTTAGGTCCTGCTTTTTTAGGTAAATAAGAGCAGAGCAGAGAGTTTTTCTTGTATCTACTTCTCAATTGCCTTCAGCTCAAAATAATCCTTATGCCAAAGTGGCATATTCTGCTTTCAAGTGCTATCATATTGTTTTGATTTAAAAAAAAAAAAACACCTTAAACAACCATACACAAAATATAACAAAAACTTCAACTGGGGTGAGTGACGGCCCATACTGGTCAAATAACTAAATGCAGTCAACATGATATATAAAATTACAAAGTAATATGCAAATGTAAAACATTTTCATTATCTTTAATCTGTTCTCACATATGCCTACTCCTGACATCTTTTTTTTTTTGAGATGGAGTCTTGCTCTGTCACCCAGGCTGGAGTGCAGTGGCGTGATCTTGGCTCACTGCAAACTCCCCTTCTCGGGTTAAGCAATTCTCTGCCTCAGCCTCCCAAGTAGCTTGGATTACAGGCGCCCGCCATCATACGTGGCTGATTTTTGTATTTTTTTATAGAGACAGGGTTTCACGATCTTGGCCACGCCAGTCTTAAACTCCCGACCTCGTGATCCACCCGCCTGACATCTTTTAGAGAGAAGATTTCTACACTGGACTGGCTCTGAAAGAGACTATATACAAGAAATATCGACACTGCCTACTTCCGGTTTTAGGTTTCTGGAATTCCTCCTCACTTATAAAGCTTTTGCCCTTTTAGACATCTGCGATTTCTGCCCACTTTTACAGGGATGGTGTATGTAAGAGTTAGCAAGATGTTCCCTATTCAAGTTCCAAAGGTAAAGGCTCTTTTGCCCCAGGACAGAAGCGAGAGAATCCGAAGAGCATCCTGGGGGTACTGACTAGAAAACAGCTAGTTTAGCCAGTGGAATGGGATAGGGAAGAAGAGAATAGAAATACTATTAGACTTGTTCTTGTAGAAGCAAAATCCTCACTGTTCTACATAACATAGGAATTATGTATTTTTCTAGCCTATAATTCTCAAACATAAATCTGATGTGTTACTTTCACTAAGAACCAGCTTATTTCCTGGTGATCGTCAGCTATATTTACATACACATGAGCAGAATTAGAAAAATATAAAATAATTTGAGACTCAAGTAAGAATAAGATAGCCCATTTTCTCTTATTTGTTCTATAGACAATATATACTATTGTCATTTTCTTTTTATTGCCTTAAATTCAGCTATAACAGGCCAATAGATCAATAAATGTCATTTTCTTATTTGACTAAAATCACAAAGTGAATACAAATTTCAGCCTTCCAGGCACAGAAATATACTAAATATCAAAGCATTAGGCACCCCATAGTATTACAGCAAGATACGATAGTATTACATTCCATTACAAGAAATGATGCTCATTTTTATTCCTTTTCTTATGAACAATTTCCTTTAGAATTTTTTTTTACTTTAAAATTTTAATCTAAGTGAGAATTACTATAAATGAAGCAATGAGATTAACAGCAAAAACCAACCTTACCATGTTCATCTGTCTTAGACACAACTGAAAGGGGCATTAAAGATTGTTGGTCCAGAGCCGGGTGCGGTGGCTCACGCTGGTAATCCCAGCACTTTGGGAGGCAGAGGCGGGCAGATTATCTGAGCTCAGGAGTTCGAGACAAGCCTGGCCAACATGGTGAAACCCCATCTCTACTAAAAATACAAAAATTATCCAGGTGTGGCCATCCATGCCTGTAATTCCAGCTACTCGGGAGGCTGAGGCAGGAGAATCACGTGAATCCAGGAGGCAGAGGTTGCAGTGAGCCAAGGTTACGCCACTGCACTCTAGTCTGGATGACAGAGCAAGAGTTGGTCTAAAAAAAAAACAAAAACAAGATTTTTGGTCCAACCAAAATCAGAAGATGGGAAGCATCATCTGTCAGAGTATCTGATATCCAAAGACAAGGGTATGGCACAAGGTCACACAGGATATTTTTTAGCGGAGCCCTAACTAGAGGTGGGCAAGTGTGAGCTGAGTGTGAGAGGATAGGCAGCCAGAGAGACACAGGTTCGGACAAGTATTTTCAGTGTGTTGCCGATGAAGGGGATGAATGGTAAGGGAGAGGCAGGGAAGATGTGTTATTATTTTTCATCTAAGGGAGGAGTGGTCAACTTAATGGCTGAGAAGAGAAGATGACACAGGGAGGAACCGAAGACTCCAAGCAGCGGCACAGGGAGAAGGAACCAGGAAAACTTGGAGGATGTGAATCAGGAGCAGAGGGAAGGAGTTTTCAACAAAAGTCAGACAGAAGTACCTCTTCCTTAGAACAAAGAGACAAGTACCTTGCTGAGCAGCCTAGAACAAAAGTGAAACCTGAGGGCACACGAAGTCGATACTAAAAATAAAAAATCAGCAGCCAGGTCCAAGGCTGTGGTCCAAAATCAGAGTCACAAGGTATCAGGAGGAGGCTGGGAGCTGCTAGGTGATGCCAAGAGCCCAAGGTGCTCGAAGTCACAGTTTGCATAAGGGCATAAATTAGGGAAAGCCAAAGGCATCAAGGAGTTAGGGACTGGGAAGATAGAAACTCGAACACTGCAAAAGATGAAAGAAGGGTCTAACCAATATGCCAAATAGTGTGTTCCTTGCATGGGACTAGAGTTTTTTGGGGGAGGACCACATTTATGGAGCACTTGTTATATGCCAGAACAAACCTGTGAAGTAAGGACTATGATTATCCCATTTGTACAAATGAGGAAAGTTAAGCACAGGGGGTGTTAAGGCGCTTGTCCCAGCTGATGTTGATAAGCAGTGCTGGAAATGAGATCCAAACCTGGTCTGACTCCAGAGCCTCAACTGTGCCAGGATACTGCCTCCCTGGTTCCACTAAGGTCTACTAAGAGGCAGAAGATACCACCTGGCACATGAGAAAAAAAAAGTCTCTGTGGTATACACATAGTGCCGAGAAGATAGGTGATCAAATCAGGGTTATTTAATGGAAAGGATTTGCAACAGGAAGACAGTACTAGGGATGACTAGAGCAACACATGAGTCATCCTTGCTTCCAGAGGCTGAACAAGCCCGGGTGTGGAGAGTCAAGGACTGTCAAGCCTGATCGCAGAGAATGTTAATGGGAGGGATGTGTCATCCCTACTCCCACGTAGATGGAGCTCCGTCAGCAAAACACTCCCAGCCTCACCCAGGGAAAGTGAGAGTCTTCCTTGATTGGGAGTTTGGAAGAAAAGTAAGGCATTATTTTAATCCTCTTATTCTTTCCTTTTTGAAAGGGAACCTGACTGCAGAGAGAACGTATTGTTGATTACTGTCAGCCCTGCAGAAGTTTACACACAGAAGCCTTGCCTGGTGGTGGAGGGCAGAGTGACCCAGCACTGCCTTGCAGGGGACCAGGCCCTGGGCCTCCTGAAGGTTCACTGAAAAATCAACTCACAAAAGGCTGATTAAGAGGATAAAAGGTATACACATCTATCTAATATATATACACGGGAAGCTTCAGAATGAAGATACAGCCCCACAGTGGGTACAGAAGCTTATATAGCATCTTGAGGTGACAAAAGAATGGGGGCTTGGATCCTGACAAAATAAGGATGGGAAAGGGGGAGGAGAGGAAACCTGTTGAAGGGCAATATGTGATTACTAGGGAGAATGAAGGGAGGGGGAACAGAGATTAACTGGTAAATAGTTCTTTTTGGAATTTGAGTTGGAGAGACAGACATTGTCTTATAAAGGATCTGTTCAGGTGTGGTCACATGTGGGTCTGCTTTCCTGCAGTAGATAATGAGATAACAGGAAAGAGAAGAAAAACCAATTGTTCTCCTTGGTGGTTCTGGACTTTAGGCAGATAAAGGAACTTCAGAGAGCAGCTTTTTCCCATGTTTTGGGAGAAACTGTGGAGGCTGGGGGAGGTCTGAGGGACCTTGAGGCTGCTTTAGTTCAGTTTGTCAAAATGCCGTATTTTGGAGTATTGGTTTCTGAGCCCCAAAATCCTCTAAGTGGATCGCAGCTAAGTATTAGGAAGCCTACTTGCCTGCAGATCTAAGCTGCATTCACCAACGCCATTTACTCAATAAAAATTCACCTGATATTTATCCCATTTCTCTATTGGCTTATAATGCTGGTGAAGAATAGAAGTATGATATTATCGTGCCTTCTTCAAGACCTTAAAGAGATAACAAGAGAAAACAATAGGGAAATAGTGTTTGACCCCAAATACCCTGTAAATGGCTTGGACCCTAAGGATCATTTTCACCAGGCAAAGAAAACTGAATGGCTCAGAGAATCTTGGCTGTCATTTAGCTTTGTCTGCTGAAGTTTTCTTGTAGTGCTTTTTCTTTATGAACACATGATGTGTTTCCCTGGGGATACACAGCATCACATTCCAAAACTGCTCTTTTTGTCACTTGTCAGTTAATTTTGACAGAATTCCTTTTTCTTGTCCATGAAGGTAAACACACAATAGATCGAGTTTCTTAGTCATCCAAGACAGCAATTACCTGGATCTTTCTTCTAACATTCAAGAATCTCAATCCAGTGACCAAGTGTGTATCCTGAGGTCCTCTATATTCCCTCCAGGAAGCCTATTGTGTCTTCTGAAGTTGAACTCAAGTTGGCATTCCCCGATATGCCAGAACTGCCAAGATGGTAGATTTCTTAACTCGGATGAAAAAGATAAAAGGTAGAGGAGAGGGGAATGGCAGTTAGCCGGTTTGTTCATGAGATTTCGTTTACCATAAAGCAACAAATTAACCCAGCTTTTGAATCATGATTTACATACAATAAAATACAAACCTAAGGCTGGGTGCAGTGGCTCACGTTTGTAATTCCAGCACTTTGGGAGGCAGAGGCAGGTGGATCACCTGAGGTCAGGAGTTCGAGACAAACCTGGCCAACATGGTGAAACCCCGTCTTGACTAAAAACACAAAAATTAGCGGGCATGGTGGCAGGCGCCTGTAATGCCAGCTACTTGGGAGGCTGAGGCAGGAGAATCACTTGAACTCAGACGGCAGAGTTTGCAGTTAGCTAAGATCGCACCATTGCACTGCAGCCTGGGCGACAAGAGCAAAACTCCGTCTCAAAAAACAAATCTAAGTGTACATTTTGATGAACACAAATTTAACCACATACAAAACAAAGTATAGAATATGTCCATCGCCCTTTACAGTCAATTTCTACCCCTATTCCCACACACGGAGGCCACTACTATTCTGATTTCTGTTTTTTAATTTTTCCATCACGTCAAGCATTTATCATTTCTTTGCTAGAAACATTCCAATTCTACTCTCTTTGTTATTTGAAAATATACAATAAATTATTGTTGACTATAGTCACCTTTTTGTGCTATCAGATACTAGGTCATATTTACTCTATCTAACTATATTTTTGCACTCATTAACCATCCCCACTTTTTCCTCCCTCCCGAATACCCTTCCCAGCCTCTGGTAATCATCATTCTACTGTCTATTTCCATGAGTTCAGTTGTTTCAGTTTTTGCCTCCCACACATGAATGAGAACATGTGAAATTTGTCTTTCTGTCACCATAGTTTAGTTTTGTTTGTTCTAGAACTTCAGAGAAATAAAACAAAATAGTATATACTCCTGCAAAGGAAAATAGAATCTTGGGACTCCAAACTTACCATGCCAACGGGAAAGTTAAGCTTGGAAACAGAGTGAAGCAAAAACTGCCTTCCTTTTGTTCCCAAACAGATAGCTGTAATTTCACAACCATATGTCACAGCCTCACATATATAAACCAGATTCTCACAACAATATAAGGTCGCATATCTCCCTAGATGGTCTCCCTCACAAATTGCTCACGAGGAAATTTCTTGTGGGCCCCCAGATCTTTCAAAATACATAATCCCCCTATAAAGTAGCCCTGAAACAGAGTTCTGTTAAATCTCACCCTGACAATTTCAATTACCAGCTTATCTTCACAGTATGGAACAAGGACTAGAGTAGAAATCATCCCTCTGCCCCTTCCCCACAGATGAATGCACATCTCGGCTTATCACATGTTTACTTTATCTCATGTAAAATGTAGATTTACAGAGCAGGAAATGAATGCATAATTGACTTTTTCCTCTACTCCCTCTTTTCACAAGTAAAATATAGATTTACTGATTGTTAATTAAAGCCTCTCAAGACTGTAACCGCTTGCCTCATTGCCTATTGATTTAGTTTGGATGTTTGTCCCCTCCAAGTCTCATGTTAAAATGTGATCCTCAATGTTGGAGGTGGGGCCAGATGGGAGGGGTTTGGGTCATGGGGACAGATCCCTCATGAATGGCTTGGTGGCCTACCCAAGGTAATGAGGGAGTGCTCACTCTATTAATTACCACAAGATCTGATTGGTAAAATATCTAGTGTCTTTCTCACTCCCTCTCTCACCATGTGACATACCTGCTCTCTCTTCACCTTCTGCCATAATAGCATCCTGAGGATTTACCAGAAGCAGCTGCTAGTGTCATGCTTGTACAGCCTGCAGAACCATGGGCCAAATAAACCTCTTTTCCATATAAATTACCCAGCCTCAGGTATTCCCTCATAGCAAGGCAAAATGCACTAATACACCCAACCCTCCTTCCTTTTATTTTTTTCTCTTTCCCCTCCTGCTTGCCCCTTTCCCTTTACGTACTGAAGTTCTTGAAACCCTCTTTAGAAAAAGCATGGATCACAGATGCTCTTGTGATTTGTGGTTTTCCCAGGCATGTCTTCAACTTTGGCAAACTAAAATCTCTAATGGATTGAGACTCCCCTCAGACACTTTTTCATTTACAGTCTTTTGTGTGAGACTTCTTTGTGCATTGTTTAGATTGATTTATGTCATTGTGTATATCAGTAATGCATTCTTTTTTATTGCTAATTTGCATTTCATTGCATGGCTATGTCATAATTGTTTATCCGTCATCCTGTTGAGGAACATGTGAGCACTGTCCCTTTTTTGGCTATTATGAATAAAATTACTATGACTATTCATGTACAAGATGTTTGTGGGCATAATATTAATTTCTCTCGGGAAAGGAGTCAGATTGATGTGTCATAGGGTAGATGTATGTTAACTTTATAAGTATTTGCCAAAGTATTTAAAAAAGTGCTTGTAACATTTTATACTCCTGCTAGTAACCTAGGAGCCTTCCAGTTGCTCCAGTTGTTCATATGGTTTTGTCAGTCTTTTAAATTTTGGTCATCTTAGTTTCTACAAAGTGATATGATAATATTAATTTGCATGATAATTTTAATTTGCATTTTCCTGAAAACTAATGATGTTAGTTTAGAACATCATATTAGAACACAGTTAGAACATATTTTCCTATGCTTATTAGATATTTTTATATCATCCTTTTTAAATTGCCTGATCAAGTTTTCTGCTTATTTTTAAAATATTGGTTGTTTGCCTTTTTTATTATTGAGGTGTATGAGTCACTTATATGTTCTCCATATGAGTCCTTTGTTAGATATTTGTATTAAGAATATTTTATTCTACTCTCTAATTTGCCTTTCAACTTTCTTAACAGTGTTTTAAAAAGAGTATAAGTCCTTGTTTTATCATGAAGTAGAAATAAAGTAGAATTTTTTTGAGATTAGTGTTATTTGTGTCCTAAGAGTTTTTTGTGTACTTTAAGCTCACAATATTTTTCTATGTTTCCTTCTAGAAGCTTTATGATTCTAGCTTTTATGTGTAGAACTATGATTTCTCTTTCTGTGTAGAATGAGGTAGGGCTCATTCTTTTGCCCTATGAATATCCAGTTGATATAGCACAATTGAATTGATTGGGAACCTTGGTTGAAAACAACCACTATATATACATATGTATGTACTTCTGGGCTCTGTAAATCTTTTCAAATGATCAATTTATCTATTTTTACCAGTATTATAAAGTCTTGATGTCTATGTCCTTATAGTAATAAATTAATGTCTTTTAATGATACTTTTTGTTTTTAAGATTGTTTTGCCTAGTCTCAATTTTTTTGTGATTCCATATAAATTTTAGAATCAGCTTGTCAATTTCTACCAAAAGGCGTGCTGAGTTTTTGATTGAGTAGTGTCAAATTTATAAATTAATTCATGAAATATTTGTACCTTAATATTATTGAGTCTTCTAATTTGTGAAATGTAGCACACTTTCTTCTACATGTGTTGTAAACCTTTAATATATTTGTATTATTTTTACTTTACATTGCCAATTAACTTTTAAATTTTTAAAAAATATATATAAATAACATTTTATATTTACCCACATGTTCACAATTTCCAATAAATTCAATTGTTTCATCAGGTATCATTTCCCTTCAGCTTTAAGAACTTGGCTTTAGCATTTCTTATAGGGCATGTGTGTTTGTGACACATTATCTCAGCTTTTGATTATCTGAAAATATGTCATTTTGCCAGACATATAGAAATCTAGGTTAAAATTTTTCCTATCACTTCAAAATACCATTCCAGTAACATCAAGTTTCCACTATTTCCCATGAGAAGTTAACTGCATCCTTATTGCTGTTCCTCTTTAGGTAATGTGTCTTTTTTTCTCTGTTGCTTTTAAGGTTTGCTTTTGTATCTTTGGCTTTCAGGAGTATGATTATGATGAATCTAGCTGTGGTGCTCTTCGTCCTTATTCTATCTAGGATTCCTGAATCTATGGGTCAGCATTTCTACCAAATTTGGAGAAAAGAAAAGCATTTAGCCAATAACTCTTGAAATATTTTTTCTGTCTTATTCTCTCTCTCATTGCCTTAGTTTGTTTGGGATGTTATTACAAAAGTACCATGGACTGGGCAGCTTATAAACAACAGAAACTTACTTCTCACTCTCTTAGAGACTGAAAGTCAAACGCAAAAGTGCCAGGAGATTTGGTGTCTGGTGAGGATCCAATTTCTGATTTATACACAACCATTCTCTTGCTGTGACCTCACATGGGAGAAGAGGCAAGAGAACTCTTTGGGTCTCTTTTATGAAGGCACTGGTCCCATTCCTAATCACCTAATCACTTCCAAATGGCTCCATCTCTAAATACCATCACATTATAGATTAGGAGTCAACCTAAGAACTTCGGGGGTATATAAACATTCTGTTTAGCCCTTGTTTCCTTTTGGGACTACCCATACTCATAAATTAGACTGCTTAATATTGTTCCACTAGTCACTAATGCTCTATTCATTTTTTCCCAATCTTTCTCTCTCTGTGCTTCACTTTAAATTATTCTATTGACCTGCCTTCAAGTTCACTAGTCCTTTCCTCTGTTTTGTTTAAGCTGCCAATGAATTATTGATTTCAGATGTGTTTTCCAATTATAATTTTTGTTATCTTTGTCACTGTTCAAACATCTCCTGACATTCTCAGCTTTTCACTCACTTTATCAATATTTTCCTGTAGACTTTTACATATATTTAGCATAAAGTCCTTAGCTGCTGATTGCAAAATCTAAGGCATGTATGGGTCTGTTTATTTTGTCTTTTTTTTCTTTTGCCCATTGGACACATTTTCCTCTTTCTTTATGTTTGTAGTAATTTTTTTATTGTGTAATAGAAATTCTGAATCGTGTTGTAGAGACTCTGGATTCTTTTATTTTCTTATGAAAAGTGTTGAGTTTTGTTTTAGCAGGCAATTAAATTACTGATGGATCATCTTAAACTTGCAGAGGTTTTCTTCGGGCAAATTAGCTTCAGTTCTGCCCCTAGTCCTAGGATTTATTCCCTAGCCCTTGGATGCCGTCTGCACTGTTAAGGCATGGTCCTTTTAGGTTCAATGGTAAATTCAAAGTGATACCAAGTCCCTCTATGTTAGCACTCCCAAACTGTATCTCCCCTGTGATAGGCATCAGCTGAAATCTCTGATAAACACTTTCAGACTTCTGGCTCTTGATTCTCCCCTGGCTCCTTGAGTTATTGCATATGGACTCAGCCAAGTGGGCTGTCTTGAGCCCCCTGTCTTGAGCCCCCTGTCCTGAGCCTCCTGTCTTGAGCTTCCTGTCTTGAACCCCCTGTCTTGAGCTCCCTGTCTTGAGCCCTGTGCTTCAAGTGACCGTGCACTTCAGAGTACTTTCCTTGAAATGTTCGAAATCTCCCTTTAGTGCTTGGGACTGGCTGGGTTCTCCAGTGCTGTCTTGGAGAACTATCTCAAGCTTGGACTGAGACCTGCATGGAGACAGATTCTAATTTCTCTTTTGGAGGAACTCTGTAACTCCCTATCATACAATAGGATTGACCAGATGGCAGAAGAAAGTTTGGGGCTTGTACCTATGGGGCCATGCTGGTCCCTGTGGCCAGCTTCAGTTCCCTGAGAATATCATGGAGAGCAGATCATGTCCACTAACTGGTGCAGTATTTCTTTTATGGGACAGCATGAGATCGAGCTGTCAGAATGGTGCTGACACACCTGGAGTCCTGTGCACCCTGGGGAAGCCCTTAAATTCTTGCCCATGTAATTTAATTGTACTTTCTTGAGAAAATAAGTGGCCTTGCTCTACATCAGTGTCATCAGCATCATCAATGAAGAGAACATTACTTCTGCTCCCTCCATCTTTCCGGGGGCATCTGTACACTCCTGTACTTCTGTCTTTCTCTACACTCCTTTTATTGGCTACCCCCGCCCCCACCCCACCTCAAACACATTCACCACAAGAGAAGGAATTTCTATTCTGTTTGTCTAGTGTCTAAGGAATTCCGTAGCAGCACTTTACTATGCACAGAGTTACAGGACCTTAGAAAGACTAATGAGAGGCACATTCCCTCTAGTGCTTCTAAAGTAAGCAGAGCCTCAGCAGACCTGGCCAAAGCCCCTCTCCCTATCCCAACTCTGATACAAGTCCTCTAAATTTGCAATTAAGAGGGTAAGGCAATGGCCATTTTAGATTATGGAGTGAGTGAGGAAGAAAGAGACCTCACCTTGGTTTCAAACGTAAGCCAGAACTTTCAACTTAGAAGATAAAAAACTTGATTGATAAACTTACTGATATTGATCAAGTGACACTTCATTTCTCATTTGGCAGTTATTTCCTGTTCGCATGTTCTCCCAGGCAAAAAGTGCAGAAGAAAAAGGGATAAATATATGTAGGATTCTGGTCCCCATACTCTCTGTATCCCTAACAATGATACAGGAGTTAAGAAGAAATCATTTAGGCAGATAGTAAGGGTATGGGAGTACTCAGTGAGGCTTTTCTCTTTAATAAAAAGCAGCCCCAAGTATTTTTTTTTTTTGAGACAGAGCCTCGTTCTGTCACCCAGGCTGGAGTGCAAGTGGCACGATCTCGGCTCACTGCAGCCTCCACCTCCCGGGTTCAAGCAGTTCTCTGCATCAGCCTCCCAAGCAGCTGGGACTACAGGCACCTGCCACCATGCCCAGCTAATTTTTGTATTTTTAGTAGACACAGGGTTTTACCATCCTGGCCAGGCTGGTCCTGAACTCCTGACCTTGTGATCCACCCGCCTCAGCCTCCCAAAGGGCTGGGATTATAAGCGTGAGCCACCGCGCCTGTCCCCCAAATCATTTTCTAACAAGGAGCAGCCTGTAAAGTTGAGCTGCAGTCAAAGACAAGCAAACTGGGAGCTTGCACGGGGGAATGCTGGCAGGAACTAGGGCCTAGACATGTTCAAGATGGCCGCTCTATCGTCCCTTCTCTTTGTGAGCCACGTGTACAGTAAAGAAGAGCAGACAAGATGGCAGGGATCAACTGGAAAGCCTATTTGCATAGTATGATTAGTGTGGGGCCGCCAGCCTTCCCAATCCTATGTAAACATCAGGCCTGATTGAACCAATCTATAAGCCCTGTGTAAATCAGACATTGCCTCCTCAAACCTGACTGTAAAACTCAGCCCATCCATCACCCACCGGTTCTTTACTCTCAGAGACCCCTTTCTCTATAGAGAAAGCTATTTCTCTTTCTCTTCTCTTCTGCCTGTTAAACGTCTGCTCCTAAACTCCTTATGTGTGTCTGCATCCTCAATTTTCCTGGTGTGCAATGACAAACCCCAAGGTATATACCCCAGACAACATAGCCACTTCAACAATTGTTATCATTCAATATCCAGTAATATCCATTTATTTTAGTTATTTGAAAAAGTTAAATAAATGGTCCTCAGCTGTGGCTGATTTTGTTCCTCACGGGACACTTGGTAGTATCTGGAGACACGTTCAATTGTCATGCCTGGAGGTTGCTGCTAGTGAGCATCTAGTGAGTAGGAGCTAGGGATGCCACTAAACATCCTATAATCAACGAGACAGTCCCCCACAGCAAGTACTAGGCTCAAAACGTCAATAATGCAGACATTGAGAAACTCCGAGTTAAATGAATCAAAACAAGGCTGTCATGCTGAATGTGTTTTTCCTTCTGTATTTTTCAAGAGAAAAATTTTAAATTATTCTATCCTAAAATATTTGCAAAGAGAATTTCAGTGGCAATGAAATACAGTTAAAAAAAGATGGAAAAAAGTAAGACAAATCTGCAATGTGTTTAGTACCTATGCTGGGCCCTTTGGTATACTTTCTATGATTAGGTTACATACTTGTCTTTTATTTTTGTAGCATTATTTATGACAGCAACATCATTCTCACAGCCCAATCTCAAATCAGGTAACTTAAATCAGGGAATATTATGACATTTTATGACATCGTATAAACAACAGTGAACGCTACTTTTGGAGGTTCTAATCTGTAAAACAAATTAATTTAGGTATGCAAAAGAAAATTATTGAAATTATTGAAATTCAACACAGATTGTTTATTTGTCGAAAGACCATTTATTCCATTTGAAATTTCAAAATATCAATTGGAGAGTTAGTAAATAATAAAAGAGTGAAGTTTCTTCACTCTTTTATTACTGCTTTCACCACTGTTATATTAAATAATGAATTTGACCTTTGATTGTTTAACTAGTACTCTAAAGCATCATACTTTGTATGTACAATTTGGTTAAATTGTCTTCAGCATAAGAAGAAACCATGAAAGGTTTTTTTGACCATTGTGTGTTTCAAGTGAACTTAAATTGGCAACCCCCTTAACACATTGAATAGATTTTTTTCAATTTTATTTTTTAGGTTTGAGAGAAAGACGTGGAGGAGGGAATCAATAGAAACTACATTTGAAACATTAGTAATTCCACAATAAATCTCCAGTTGTTCAGCAGCCTAGTAATTACAGGGCCAGAACCAAAGCAAACTATGAAAATATTCATGAACATCTAAAAGTCCAAGGCTCTATGTCTTTCCTTTTTACCACACGTATTGCTTTGTCGGTAAAGCTCTGCATAAACTATTGCATATGATGCAGTGAGTTACTCCCTGAGGCTCTGCTGTGGGGTCAGGGCCCGGCCTGAGAAGAGTGTGGTGACTGGCTGGCTGCCTTGTGGGCTCCTATCATCTTTAGCTGCTTCCCCTGACCATGAAGTTCATACTCCATGGGATTCCAGCTGAATTCTTTGGACAGAATTTTAAATCCTTGTTCCCCTTCCCCAGTAGGAAAAGCATCAAAAAACAATAAAAATAGTGCATCTGACTTTTTTTACCTAGGGAATGCCTAGAGGAGAAAATGATTTAATGAATCAAAGACTCTGGTTACCAGTGGGGCAGGATCCAGAACGACGAGGTCATCCATGTTTGCCTTTGGCGCTCCCAGTTTCGCCTCCTCCTCCTGTGTTGGTGCACCCCTGTGCTCTCTAGAATCGTACCCCACAACTCTCAGAGCACCTCACCTCACAGTCTAAACATCCTCTTCCTCTTCCCTCCTTCTGACTACAGGCGATGGTTATGAGGGCCACGTTCATTGTGCTGCATGTAAAATAATCAGGTAACCAGTTTTAGAAGACTGAATTTTAACAGGCGTTCTCTTTTGGAATGACAGATACCTAACTCATAGAAATGACCTGTAATCATGGCCTGGGTTAGGAACAAGGATTTGGAGGAAGAAAGTGCCTTCAAATCACCCTGCAAATAGTGTTGTCTACTCAGCCACAGGAAGACAAGCCCTGGGGATGCATTCAGCAGGCAGCAGGTCCCGCGGGTTCTACAGCTTCAAATTACTTGGAGCAAATGAGGCTTTTCAGGTAACACTATACTGAGTTCTAAAACATAATTAAAACGGATTTTGTACCAAATTCTATAAAATGTCAAAATATCTTGCCTAAGTAGCTTAACCAAATCACTCATAATAAGTGTCTCCAGGAATGGAACCTAAATTGGCAGAAAACAAGTTATAAGAAGGTGTGGTAGACAGAGTAATGGCCTTAAAAACTGTACACGTCCTAATTCCCAGAACCTGGGAATATATTCACAGTACATGGCAAAGAGGAATTAAGGTTGCTGATGCAATTAACTTTGCTAATCAGCTGGCCTTAACATAGATTTATTATAGTTTATCCAGATGAGGCAAACATAATGATAAGGGTCCCTATAACTGGAAAAAGGAGGCAGAACAGGTTGGAGTGATATGCTATGAGAAAGACTCAATTTACCATTGCTGGCTGGGAAGATGGCAAAAGGGGATCATGGCTCAAGAATGTGAGAAGAGCTGAGAGAGGTGGTTCACGCCTCTAATCCCAACAGTTTCGGAAGCCGAGACAGGTGGATCACTTTACTTCAGGAGTTGAGGACCAGCCTGGGCAACATGGAGAAACCTGTCTACCAAAAAATACAAAACTTAGCCAGGCATGGTTGCTCACACATGTAATCCCAGCTACTTGGGTGGTTGAGGCAGGAAGATTGCTTGAGCCCAGGAGTTTGAGACCAGCCTGGGCAACATGGCAAGACCTCATCTCTACAAAAATAAATGAAAAGTTAACTGGGCATGGTGGTGCACACCTGAAGCCCCACCTACTTGGGAGGTTGAGGCAGAAGGATCACTTGAGCCCAAGGAGGTCAAAGTTGTAATGAGTCAGGATAACACCACCACACATCAGCCTGGGTGACAGAGTGAGACCGTTTCTCAAACAAAACAAAACAAAACTAAACAAAACAAAAGAAATATGAGAAGCTTCTAGGAGCTGGAAAAGGCAAAAAAATGATTTTCCCATAGAACCTAGAAAGGAATGTAGCTTTGCCAACACCTTGATGTTAGCTCAGCACTATGTGAGACTTCTGACCTCCAGAAATACAAGATAATAAGTTTATGTTGCTTTAAGTCATTAAAATCATGAGAATTTAGTGAGAATCACTAAATTCCTACAGCAACCCTGGGAAACTAAAACAGATAGGTGTTGGAGCAAATGGTTCTGCATAGGAACCACTGTGTCTGAAATGCAGGCCTTGAGAAAGACACCCACCAGCAACTTGTGGCTATGGTCTGCAAGCTTAGCCCTTGGTGCCTACCTATGGGATAGAGGAAGCACCTTCTCTACCACTCCTAAATAGCCTGCAGATTCTGACTCTCCATTCCCACTGTCACCATCTCAGTCTAAGCCTTTGTCATCTTCGGTGTAAATTTGTGGGGGTTCAGTCAGGCTGGTGGGAAAAATTTTAGTTATAGAAAATATACACAAACCCTATTGGAAGGCCTGGGGGTTATTACATATAGTACTTGCCTGAAGGCAGCTTTGTCCCCTTAGTTAAATTAGAGTAGAAATGAAGGAATGTGGGGAGTTTATCTAGCTAGCTTGTTTACTCATATGGTCCTAAGACTAACCTTTGATTTATCACAGGTGATTAATTACTTTCTATTTGGGAAGTCTGCAATGTCAGTTACACTCTAGTGGTGTTGACTCAAGCCTTTGTCAATTAATCTTTACTGAATAAATGCTAGTCTTGCTGGCTAGCCGAGGCCTTGGTCGCAACTGTTTACAGCACTCTTCTGGGAGTCTGTAAGTGGCCCAGACACTCAGCCAAACTGGCTAAGCAGAATATCTGTGTCAGTGTACTGTATTGATTTATCATTGGGTCAGGGTCTGTGGGACAGACATCTACATAAATTATTTCAACAGCTCCTTGACTGGCTTCCCTTCTTCCAGCTTTGCTTGCTCAATGCCAAGCTCCACACTTTAGAAGGGGATCCTTGTATACCTGACTCACCACCCGAAGGAAATGTCTTCAGAGATGTTCACTGCCCCAGGTAGGGCCCATGCTCCACGTAAGGCCATCCGCTCCAGGTGTAATCGTGCCAGGCTCCATTGCCCAATATGTGGCAAGTCAATACATGGAGACACAAAGAATTGTAGCAGAGAAAGAAGTTTAATCATCAGGGATTCAAACAAGGAGGTAAGAGGAAATCTCACATCTGTCTTCCCAAGGAGTTTGGGGATAGGGATCTTAAGGGGTTTAGGATGGGTTGTGGACCTGGGGTCATGGATTAATGAAAGAGTAAAAGGTGAAATCAGGGGACAGGGAGATGAAGAAACTGTATTTTTGTGTTGACTTAGTTTTGGGGTCTTCAGACTAGCTGGCATCAGCCATTTTGCTGGTACTCAGGATCTGAAAAACATCTTAATTAATTTTTAAGCAAAACAGTCTTATGATTTTAACGTTAGAGATTCTATCTATAGAAATGATGGGGAAGCAAATGGTCAGTATCTAATGCTAGAATAGCTATAGGGACATAGGCCAGAAGGCTACCTGATTAATGCTTAACTGTACTTTTGCCTAAAGTCTGGCATGTAATTTTCCTTACCATACGGACACAGTTTCATGGGTTCACCTTAAAGAATACTAGGGCCAAGAATGAAATTAAGGCCCGCATAAAATGTGTTATAAGTCACATTAACAAACTGAGAAATAAAATATGTTATATTCTCCTGCCTTAGAAATCCAGACCCAAATTTAGAATTATCAGACTTCTCAGAGTTTCAGGCCAGAACATTTCTACATGAGGAAAGCTGGTACCCAGGCCCTCTATGTTCATGTACCAAGTCCTAAGTCCCTGATCGGCACCTGATCCCCTTCTCTCTTTATCCCTGGCCTGTTTCATATCATGAGGGATCATGCCAACTCCCTTCAAACTCCATTCCAACCCTTCACCAACAGCCACCCCTTGGCTACTCACCATGTCTACGAATACATGTTGGTGGAATGTCCTGACCTTGGAGGATGAACCCAGGGAAGAGGCTGCCCAAGACACAGGGGCAGATGCAGGGCCATAGTGGAAGGAATTCTGGGGACACCGGGACCCAGAGCATGACCTGGAAGGTAGGACAATGGGTTCCAGATGGAAACGTGTTCTTGGTCCTGCAGAGCATACTCCCCATGGGGAAGAACAACAAGAAGAGCATGTCCTAATATGTGAGGACCAGGGCACGAGCTCTTTTTCAATGGTACTGCTTCTCCACCTACCCAGCCTTACCACTGACCACCTCATAGCTGTGCTTAGTAAGAACAAAGCACATCTCACATCCTGTACCTAACAGGATACCTTTCACCTCTCTGCTCTTGCTGGAGCAATACTCATGTATGTGCTGTAAAGCCATTGATTCTTCATCTTTTTAAACTGTATTTTCTATTTTTTTGTGCCCCTAAACTTTTGGGCACAGCAAGCTGTTAATTACTGGTAATTGATTAACTGGCCTGATTTTGTGACATGAACATGGAGAGCATTAATTAAATTAAAGAATTGAAAGGCACCATGTTTTATTCATTAACAATGGGTAGAAAATATCAGACAGTCATGAGGAATATAATCCACTCAAGGGTCAGCTGTTTTCCCACCAGATATGAGGGCATTAGAAAGTGACAATAATAAAGACATGCCATTCTGGAACTAGAAGAGATATTCAGATCAGTGAAGTAAAATTATATAGGAACAAAAAGGTCTGTGCTAGCATCATGATCTCAGCAAGGTAAGCAGGACAGTATTAAAGGTGCTCTCACTCTCTGCCTGAAGGCTTCCTGAAAGTGTTAACAATATAATTACTAGACACTGAATCTTGGGGAGTAGTTGGAGTCTAGGTGCCCATTCTGACCAAGGAATCTGTTGACAGTGCTCACCTTGGTTTACCTTCACAAAGGCAGCATTTCCTTACTTTCAAGAAGCTTGATGTCTAACCTGGCCTCTTCACCATGGATAAAACACACACAAAACGAGAACTCAGTAGAACAGTGGCAACCCTACTGATTTTTAAAGGATGCGGATTTCAACAAAGAATCTACCCTGTTCTTCCGTAGAAGAGCCCAGTGGGTGGAATGATGCCCCTCACTCAAGGTGAGGGCAGAGCTTGCAAGAGAACTGATCATTAAGTCCTGAAAAAGGCAGTGAGAACTTACAAGGGCATGGTACGTTTTGTAAGATCTCACAGAAGACCCAGGTCACTGAAAACTGGAAGATGCATTTGCAGTGTAGAAAGCATTTTAGCTGGGTGAAACTGCACTAATTAAGATGCATCATGGGTAGAGGGGAAATTAAAGAACCAGAAAAGAAACAATTACTGTTTTAGAGACATAAGTGTCTGCATTCAAATACCAACTCTACCATTTATCATTTGTACTAACTTTGGATGACTTTGAGAATTTTTTTTTGTCTCAGGATTCTTATTTTTAAAAATGCAGAGGCTATTTGGTATCAGCATCATAATGGGATGCAAAATGAAACAGAATAATAATTATAAAAAAGTTTAGGACAATTTATGAAGAACTTGCATGTACTTCTTCTCATGTGGGATGCTGTTGCAATATATCCTTTTTTTTAAGGTAGATTGATCAATTCAAAGCATAAAATAAACTGATAAAAGTGGATGGTACGGGCACAACTGTAGATAATCACTAACTTGCAAACAACAATCTGGAAAGAAGAGGTGTTTTGTCCACCTTGCACACGTTATAAGTTTCCTCTAATCTGGCAACTTTATTATCCCCAACATCTATGGAATAAGTCAAATTCACGTATTACATAGACTCAGAGAATCTCAAAGGGCATAGAATGCATCCAAGGATGCCAATCTAACTCATGCAACCATATGTTGATGATCTGGGGGAGGAAAGCTTATAAGCATTGCAAATTGCTACCAGGCTATTGCAGCTTCAACGGCAATGTGGAGACTTATTCTTCCCACATTTTTGTTCCCTAAAGCAGAGTATATTTCAAACTTTTGAATCTTTCATTTCCATTTCTCTACCACAAGAAGATATAAAGCCGCTCAGACACTTGCCGGTTAAAGTACTTGAGCTCCAGGATAAATACTTAGGAATAGAGCCAGTCAGATTTGTCTCCCAGCTTTTGTCCCTTTTCTCTTCTAGTGAGGAAATTGCACCTCATTAGCTTTGTGACTTTAGAAAGCCACTTCACCTTTCTAAATCTCAGTTTCTTCAATTGCAAAGTAGTAATGATATTTAAAACACATCACTGCTATTAGGGTTGCACAGAGTAACCCTTAGCTTTTAAATCACTTCCAGAGTGCCTGGTGCATAAATAGAAGCCATAACTCTTATTATACCCTTTGCTCTTCACACTGTATTGTTTAGCTTCCTTGTTTTATAAATTATGGCATTGTTTATATAAAAATGAAATGCTTAGATATTCAAGTTAATGAGTTCTGACAAATGTATATACCTGTATACCCACTTCATACAACAAGATATTGTTTCCAACATTCCTGAAAGTTTTTTTGTGTACCCTTCCAGTAAGTTTCCCCACCTCCCATTGAAAATCATTTCTAAACTCTAGCAGATTTCTAGCTTAATCTAGCATCGATTACTTTTGCCTGTTTGTATGGTATATCAATGAAATTATATGACATCTCATCCTATGCATCTGCCATGTTCACTCAATTTAATGTTTTTGAGATTCATCATCCATATTGTTGCATATATTAAGCTAGTAGATTTCTGATTGCTAAGTATGAATATATTACAATATATTTAGCTATTTTCCTGTTGATTGACATTTGGATTATTGCTAATTTCAAGCTATTATTAATAAAACTGCTAACATTCTTTTCTTGCACAAGTTGTTTTGTTGATATATGTTTCCTATTTTTCTTTTTCTTTTTTTTTTTTCAGAGAAAGAGTCTCTCTCTGTTACCCAGGCTGGAGTGCAGTGATGCAATCATAGCTCACTGCAACCTCAACTTCTTGGGTTCAAGTGATCCTCCAGCTTCAGTCTTCTGAGTAGCTGAGATTATAGGTACTCACCACCCCACCTGGCTAATTTTTAAAAATTTTTTGCACGACAGAATCTCGCTATCTTGCCCAGGCTGGTCTCAAACTTCTGGCCTCTAGTGATCATCTGCCTTGGCCTCCCAAGTGCTGGGATTATAGGCACGAGCCACTGTGCCCAGCCTGTATATATGTTTTTATTATTATTCAGGGTAAATATTATTATTATATTAAATTAAATATTACTCAGGGTAAATGCCTAAGTGTTGAATTTCTGGGTCATAGAGTAGATACATGTTTAACATTATATATGCTAAATCGTTCCCTGAAGTGGTTGTATTATTTTTCACTTCTGACAGCAAGGTATAGGAAGCTCAGTTGCTGCACATCTTTGCCAGCCTGTGCTATTCTCAGTCTTTCTGTTATAGCTGACCTAGTGTATGTAAAGTGGTATTTTATTATTGCTTATTTTGAATTTCCCTGACTGCAGTGATTTTGAGCACCTTTTCTTGTGCTTACTGGTCACTGAGTTAGCTCCTTCTCACTAGGGTCTTTTTGAGACCTTATCTATTTTTTTTTTCAAAACTGGGTCTTTCTTTTAATTATTGATTTACAGGAAATTTTTAAAATATGTTATGAGTAAGAGTGTTTTTTTAGATATATAATGAATATTTTCAGGCTGTGATTTACCTTCTTATTGTCATAATGATATGTTTTTAAGAGAAAAAATTTTAATTTTGACATAATTCAATTTATGTAGTTTTTTCTTTCATTATTAAGGCTTCTTTTTTTCTAAGAAATCTGGCTAAACTCAGTGTGGAAAGATATTCCTTTATGTTTCTTTATGGAAGTTTTTTTTTTTTTAATTCAAGCTTTTACATTCATGGCTCTGATCCATCTTGAATTAGTTGTTACACACGGAGTGAGTAGGGTACAATGTTCAGCTTTTTCCCAACAGAGTATTCAGTTGTTCCAATACATTTTGTCTATAAGGCTCCTTTTTGTTTTTGTTCTTTCATAAAAATTTAAGGGGTACAAGTGCAGTTTTGCTACATGGATATATTGTGTAGTGGTGAAGTCTGGGCTTTGGTGTACCCATCACCTGGATGATGTACATTGTACCCGTTAAGTAATTTCTATCCCTTGCCCCTCCCACCTTCCTACCCTTCTGAATCTCCAGTGTCTGTTATTCTACACTGTATGTCCCCATGCACGCATTATTTAGCTCCCACTTATAAGTGAGAACAGGAGGTATTTGGCTTTCTGTTTCTGAGTTGTTTCATTTAAAATAATGGCCTCTAGTTCCACCCATGATGCTGCAAAAGACATGATTTAATTCTTTTTAATGGCCGAATAGTATTCCATTGTATACATTTATCACATTTTCTTTATGTAATCACTTAGGTTGATTCCATGACTTTGCTGTTGTGAATAGAGCTGTGATAAACATGTGAGTGCAGGTATTTTTTTTTACATAATTTCTTTTCCTTTGGGTGGATACTCGGAAGTGGAATTGCTGGATCAAATGGAGGTTGCAGTTTTAGTTCTTTGAGAAATCTCTATACCATTTTTCAGAGAGGTTGTACTAATTTACATTCCCACCAACAGTGTATAAGCATTCCCTGTTCTCTGCATCCTCACTGATATCCATTGTTTTTTGACTTCTTAGTAGTAACCATTCTAACTGGTGTAAGATGATATCTCATTATGATTTTGATTCACATTTCCCTGATGATTAGTGATGTTGAATATTTTTTTTCATATGCCTGTTAACTGTTTGCATGGAAAAGACTCCTTGGCAACTTGGACATAAAATAATTATTGGTTAATTTGCAGGTCTATGTCTAGACCCTGCTCTTTTTCATTGATTTATTTGGTTTGTCCTTATACAAATACTACATTTCCTTGATTGCTGTAGTTTTGTAGTAAATCTTGTTTAAGGTCACTAAAATAGGCCTATCTCTTCTTTCCAACCTATATGGCTTTTTTTTTCTTGCCTTATTATCCTACCTATGACTATCAGCATAATGTTGAATAAAAGCTATGAGAGTTGGTGTCATTACTGTTTTCTGGTTTCATGTAAAATATATCCAATATTTCACCATAAGTTATGATGTTAACTATTGGTTTTTCATAGATATTATGATAGATTAAAGAAGTTGCTTTTATTCCTAGTTTTCTGAGAGTTTTAAAAAATCATGAATAGGTATCAAGTTTTGTCATGTGCCTTTTCTGTATCTATCAAGTTACTCGTAAGATTTTTTATTCAGTTAATGTAGTAAAATATGCTGATTTGGAATGTAAGTAAGCCTTACATTCTTGAATTAAGTGTCATGCAAATGATATGTTATCCTTTTTATGTAAGGCTGGATGTGATTTACTAATTTTTGTTAAAGACTTATACATCTATGCTCATGACAGATATGGTCTATAATTTACCTCTTTGATGTCTCAAGTTTGGAGTCAGGGTATTGCTAGACTCATAAAATAAATTGGTACAGATTGACCTAAATGGAACTCTGAAAAATACTCACTATATAATCTAATTGCCAAGTCCAACCCCCATTATCAAATTAATGAGCAAAACGCAGAATAATTTTTGTCAGAAAAATATTCCTTTATTTTTCAATTCAAATAAACATTATTGATATGCACTCCTTTGATAACCGTCTTCTAAATTATAATTCTAAGATAGATAGGTAAATAAATAGATTTAGATGAAGACACACACCTTTGTTGCTATAAAAGTGACACACCCTTGCCTTCAATATTCCTTATAGATATTTTCTTTGCTTTGCCCTCAAAGACTCATCCTCAATAGCAATACAGTCTTTGACAAGACCAAAAGAGGGAAGACATAAGGACACACGCAAATAAAAGTTGTTAAAATTCTGCTATTCCATTCAATAATATAGCTGTACTCCAAGCATTGACAACATTTTAAACCTAAACCCGTCATTTCTAATACCACGATTTGCTCTGAACAGAAATATGCATAATGTGTGGAAAGTCTAGAAGTCCAACCGGGATGATTCAACTTTAAATAAAGAAGGCTACTGAGGCTATTCATACCATTATTTTGTCTCTTTGACTTTATCCTGGAGGTTTTTATATCCCCTGGGCAACACACCCCAGTAAAATTCAGGGTGGTGATAGGCATGCAGTTCCTTTGCAAGGTGGGAAGAGGGCTGCTTAAAAAGTGGGGACGGTAAAATAGAATTGTTGTTATGCCTTCGCCTCAGATGCTTTTGTAGATAGATCACTTTTAGAACACACTATATCCATGGAAGTTGAAAAACTGGAAAATGATTTCCAAGATTTTCTTGGAAAGTCTTCATGTGCCCCACAGCTATGCCTACAAGTGGGTGAAACCTTTCGGCCCTCTCAGTATCTCTTCTTTCCATTGTTATTAACAGAATCCCAGTTTCCTTTGGGGCATTGTGCACAGCTAAAATATTCACCTTGCAAGACTGACTTGCATTATGACCCAGTTATTGCTGATGAAATCTAAACTGAGTTGCTGGGATGGGGATGGAGTGCCTGTCTTTTGAAGCAATTGTTTTTCTAATAAAATGGAACCAATTCAGCTGGCACGTCCCCTCGTCTTTCACTTTCCCTCCTTTGTCTCCCTGGAATGCAAACAATCTCTGGAGGTGTAGCAGTCATCTCATGACCAGCAAAACAAAAACCACATGTTCATAATGGAAGAACAGATAAATCCAAGGAGACTGGGTCTTTGTTGATCACCTTAGGAGCCTGCACCAGCCTCAAGCTGGTACATCCAGATTTTTAATGCATGAGAAAAATAAGCCCCATTGTTTAAGCCCTTGTTGTCAGAGTTTTCATTTATTGGCTCCAAATCCTGAATGAAACAAGGGATGCTTTTCTTATCCATGCCTTGAGGAATACATGATTTAAATTTCCGGCCTGAAAGATTTTGCTAAATGCTATAGGGAATGCTAATGAACTGCTATGCAATTATATTTACATATTATTCTAGATGATAGTTTCTCTAATATAAATAAGACAAATTTATAAAATAAATGTTCTGAACATCAACTGAAATATTACAAGGTTTTTGTAGGCATCACTTTCTTATCATTTTCGTTCTTGGAAATAGTAAGCAGTCAGTAAATATTTTCCCAACAAATGACACAAAGGAGTAAAAAGGCCGATTTGAACATTATTTTTTTACTTAATAATAAGGACTATAATTAATGTTTGAGAGTAACTTGGGAAAAAAACTATAAATTCAATTCTACTGTTCATAAAGTAGTTATACATCACAATATCTGGGGGACTGGAAATAAAATACAATATAATTTAATATTTGAGTAATGAGGGAAACATCACCTGAAATGAGAATGATGATTTAAAACTTGCAACCTAATACATTTGTGAAAATTTATTAGTGAATTTCATCTAGTGCTATCCAAGATGATAGATCGTCAGAAAATTTGAAATGAATCACAATTATTATTCATTGAGGAAACAGCTAAATGTATTAGGAAAAATCTCAAAAATGGCATAAAAATAACATTCTCAGATATTCAATGATAATTTTCCCAAGTGTTTTATATGAATTATGTCATATAATTATTTCCATAACCCTAAATATGGATAATATTTTTTTCTATTTTATAAATAAGGAAACTAAGACATAGGCAAATTAAGTAAATTGCCTAAGTTCACACAGGTAATAAGTGATACAGCAGGATTAAAACCAAAGCAGTCAGCTCTATTGATGGTCTGGAAGTTACTTCCTATGCCTAAAGATGGCAATTATCAACACCAGATGCAACATAAAAATAACAACTGGCCAGGTGCAGTGGTTCATGTCTGTAATCCCAGCACTTTGGGAGGCCAAGGCGGGTGGATCACGAGGTCAGGAGTTCGAGACCAGCCTGGCCAATATGGTGAAACCCCATCTCTAATAAAAATACAAAAATTAGCCAGGCATGGTGGCAGGTGCCTGTAGTCCCAGCTACTCTGGAGGCTGAGGCAGGAGAATTGCTTGAACCTGGGAGGTGGAGGTTGCAGTGAGCCGAGATCACGCCACTATACTCTAGCCTGGGCGACAGAGCGAGACTCCATCTCAAAAAATAATAATAAAATAAAATAATGACCTGAGTACTTTGGAGAGTAAATAAAATCAGGCAGCTTCTGAAGAGAAGCCAACAGTTGGAAGAAGGAAATGGCACAGAGTCAGTTTCTCATTTTGAAATGGCTCTTAGCCTAATGTCAGGCTATAGCTGGTGCTGCACAGGGCAACTAAAACCCAGATAAAAACCCACAGTCTTTGTGGTTTGAGAAACCAGGGAACAGAGTTCAGGACACTCATATTCACTAGAAAGTGAGGAGAAAACTCTGGAGAGCAAAGGGCAGAGAGGGAGACACCAAGTATATGAAATTTTTCTAAGCCTTTGGTTGACCCCTGAATACACATCAACGTTGATGCACCTGGAGGCAACAGCTGGATGTGACTTGGAGTTGTCTCAGGTTGAGGAGATGATGTGAAACTTGTGATTTTATGTGCAATAATTAGGTTATGTTAGGCAAAGACACCTTTGGATATATGAGAAGAAAGGTTTATTGGGGTGGGTAGCCCACAGGTGTGATTTCAGAGAGGCATTTTGAAACAATCCTCCCTATTGGTAACTGCTCCTGGCATTCATGAGTGGTCCTGCATCAGCCATGGCTTCTGTATCAGTCAAGGTTCTCCAGAGAGACAGAATATGTATATATATGAAAGACAGTGTATTAGGGAGAATTGGCTTACACGATTACAAGGGCAAAGTCCCACGATAGGCCACCTGCAAGCTGGAGAATGAGAGAAGCTGGTAGTGTGGCTCCTAGGGAAGGCAGTAGGTAGCTCAGTCCCAGTTTGAAAGCCTCAAAACCAGGGAAGCCAGCAGTGCAGGCCCCAGTCTGAGACCAAAAGCTTGAGAGCCTCCAGGAGGCTCCAAGAGGTTGTTAGTGCAAGTCTCAGGTCCAAAGGCTGAAGAACGGAGAGTCTGGTGTCCAAGGGCAGGAGGAGAAAAGGTGTCTTGCTCCAGAAGGGAGAGAGAGAGAGAGAAGCAGCTAAGAAAACTGCTTGTCCTCCTTCTGCCTGCTTTGTTTAACCAAGCTCCCAGCCAATTGAACAACGTGGGCAGGTCTTCCCCTGCCTTTCCACTGACTCACATGCCAGTCTCCTCTGGAAACGCCCTCACAGACACACCCAGAAACAATGCCTCACCAGCCATGCAGGCATCCCTCAATCCAGTCAAGTTGACACCTAATATTAGCCATCACAGCTTCCTATGTCACTTTGGGTCTCTGGTCCTAGTGAAACAGGTTCTATCAGATTCTCTCTCCTAGAAAATTGGAAATTCATGAGAAAGCACATAAAGAATGGGGTCTCTGGGGCTGAATCACGCAAATAGCAGTGCTAGAGAGGAAAAGTTCACAAACTGGCTGAGTTCCCGGGAAGAATCTGCTTTTACCCTTCCCAACAGGGCTGAGTTGCTCACTTCTTCCCCGAATTCAGTGAATATGCCACTATTCTGTCAAAGAATATATATACATATATATATACATTTTGTCCCTTAAACTACTAGGAGTCAGCTTCTGTTACTTGCAGTCAAATGAGCCACACTTTGGTTATTTAGAGCCCAGAATTAATGAGGAATAGCCCTCAGTGATATGAATTTGAGAGTGGTCAAAATGTCACAACCATTGACATTCATCACCATGGTACTGCTGGAAACCTTTTATTCCCACCATTAGAATAACTTTGGGGATTAAAAGCATTGTCTCTAAAATGTCTTTTTTAAAGAATTAAGATTAATAGTAATGTTGGGAGTAGAACCCCCTAACGTATGCATGATACAACTCAAACTCATTTTTCAGGGCAAGTGGTCCGAGACAGGAAAGCTTTGCCCCTGAGGGGCAGGAAAAATGCAGCACAAGAAGCAGAGAGGCCAGCACACTGAGGGGGCAATCAAGGGAGGGGGGCTTTGGGAGTCTTAACTTTCTCAGCTTTACCTAGGAGGCAGCATAATGACTGCTATAAAGCCAGTATGTGATGTCCAGAAGATGAGGTCAGAGAGAGTGTCAGAGCCAGATCACTTAAGACCTTGCAGGCCTGGGCAGAGAGTTTGGATTTTTAAAAGTGTAATGGTAAGTCATTGAGAGCTGAGCATAGAAGAGTAAAATCATCGGATTTAAGTTTTCGAAAGATCACTCCAGGCTGGGTGCAGTGGCTCACACCTGTAATCCCAGCACTTTGGGAGGCCAAGGCAGGTGGATCACGAGGTCAGGAGATCGAGACTACCCCAGCTAATATGGTGAAACCCCGGCTCTACTAAAAATGCCAAAAAAAAAAAAAATTAGCTGGGCATGGTGGCGGGTACCTGTAGTCCCAGTTACTCTGGAGGCTGAGGCAGGAGAATGGCGTGAACCTGGAAGGTGGAGCTGGCAGTGAGCCCAGATCGCGCCACTGCACTTTAGCCTGGGTGACAGAAGGAGACTCCATCTCAAAAAAAAAAAAAAAAGATCACTTCCACTGACCCATGCACAATTGGGGGCAAGGGCAGATTCAGAAAATCAGGTAGGAGTTAAAACAATAATCCAGGCAAAGAGTAATGGCATCTTAGATGAAGGTGGTAGAAATGGGGGTGACAAGAAGTGCTCAAGTGCAAGATGTACTCCAGAGGTAGATCTTTAAGGATTTGCTAATGGATTGACAATGTGGTATAAGAGAAAGATAAATCAAAGATGATTTCTAAGTATTTGGCATGAGCAAGTGGGATGATCATTTGTTTCACCAAGATGGGGACTGTATCAGTCAGGATCCAGTTAGGAGGAAGAAACTATACCTGTTATTTTAACAGAGATTATTTAATATAAAATTTAATATTAAAAAATAACCTAGGCAAAGTGAACACCATGGTATCACTGAGGTAGCAACTGCAGGAAGCAACCACCACTCCCAGGGATGGAAAAACAAACAGAAGGGGTTGGAATTATGAATATTCAGAAGCGTGGAAGCAGGTCCGATGTAGCTGAGTACGATGAGAAGGGGGCACTGCTTAGCTGGTGCTATTGTCTCTCAGCTTAGAGGAAAAGCACTGCAGAGCTGGGACCCAGACCTCCCAGGTGATTGGTGTTGTTGGTTTCTCCAAGAAGACATAACAAAAGCTGGGAAAAACTGTGATCACTACTGGCATCAGGATAAACCACTGCTGCCAGGTGGAAAAGCATTGCCAGGGTTAGATTGACAGGAACAGGAAGTCAAAACAGGAAGAGAAAGTAAACCAGGAAGAAACCCAAAAGGAAGGAGGAGCAAGTTCCTTCTGTCTTCTCCAGAGTTAAAGTTTTTTTTCTCTAGCGCCCCCTCCTGGCAAAGCCTAACAGGGACCCACTGGCTAAACAAATGTGAGGAGACAGGTGGGGTTCAAGCTGAGAAATAGCTTAACAGCTGATAGAATTTGGATTCGGGGGCATGTTTTGGTAGGAAGAATCAAGACTTCTATTTGAGGGATCTATTGTGATGCCGAATGGAGATGTTGGGGAGAGAACAGGTTATACAACCAAGAGATGAAGGAAAGGTTGAAGCTGGGGTAGAAATTTGAGATTCAATAATTACCATGCTTGATTTGTTTCCATAAAAAAAGGAAACCAAAATAAGAATTAAAAACTAAATTATCAACACTGAATACTTTCCTTACTGAGCTATGTAAAAGCATGCTATGATTGTGATTTTACATAGGCTATGTACAGATAATTTTTCTTTTTGCTCAAAATTTGATAATGAAAGATTTAGAAAGAAATGGGACGATCCAAATAAAATGTTTCAGTGTGGCAAGATAAATTTAGGGCTTCGTATAATGAGGGGAAGAATCTCTAAATGTCCTCTGTTCCATGTGTTTTCTTTCAGTAAGCACTATATAGAAATAATCCCAGAAATATAATTGTTCTCTTTATTCCTCTTGATTTAAAGAGAGAATGTTTCTTTTCATGGCATTTTAATAAAATGCGGCATTATACAAAATATTGAGACATTCATAAATTTCTTTAACAGGACAAAAATAATATGATATATAGTAATTAGATATTTCCTACTTACATCATCCTCATTTGAAATGACCTTGAAACACTTTACAAAAGCTCTGAGTAATTAATAATAAAAGGAACCCTAGACATTGATAGATATTATAATTCTTCCCATTATAATTATGGAAAAAGCAAGATATTACACATCTTCCACTGTCCTAAGAAGTACTCATTTTAGGATTTAGACAGATTGAGCATGTTTGTTTATAGGGCTGTGTTGGGATGGCTACCATGGGTTTATAGAGTGGAAGATGAAAGAGTCTCCTGAGAAAGAATACATCCAGGAAAAGAGTTGGTACACAGCTATGTCTAATATTAGAGCCTTGGTCACAGTATGGGACAGGAGACTCAGTAGAGTCAGCGACCAAACTGTTCTTTTGACCTACCTCCATGGATTCATCTCTGAGTTCTAGAGAGAGATGAGCAGCAAATAAAAACTTACAATTTTTCTCACCAAAAGCTCTGTAAGATATTTATTTTTTTAACCGAGCATTTATTGCTTTTTTCTGCCCAGCATCCCTTACGTTCATATTCCGATAGCAGTACCTTTCCTTCTTTGTGGAATTTTTCTTACCCTCTCTTTTGTGAGGCTTTAATGGTACTCTCCATTTCAATATCTTATCCTCGGGCCACCACGATTGATGCAAGCAAAAGCACCTGACCCAAACTGTATCAAACAGTATCTTTGATAAGATTTTACATATCGTTACAGGATCTTTGGGGTGTTGCTTTTCTGGCCAGAAACCTCTGTGGCTGGTGGCACCTTTCCCTGAGTGTTGCTCGGGCCCACTGAGCTTGTTCCACTCACTTGGCCTGGCAGGCCACGCTCGGCTCACGCCACCAGCCTGGACCCCACGACTCTGAGTGGGAGTCAGGCATGGAACAGCAAGGGGTGTGTGAACGAGTGTGGGGTCCAGCCACTGCACACAGTCAGACACGACAGCTGCTGCCATGGCACAGGCAGCTCCAGGTGCTGGGATGGGTGCCCACTCTCTGTGAGACTGCAGCTGGACCAGGTGCACCACAAGCAGCTTCCCTGGCTGGCACCAGGGAATGCAGTGGTGCCCGGAAGCCTGGAGACATCAGGAACCACAGGGCCCCAAAGAGGGAGTCACAGACCTGGCTTTGGGAGCCTCCAGGGCTGGGATCCCTGAAGGGCTGCATCTTTTCTCTCCTTCTCTTCACCTGCAACATAGCAAGTAAGGGGCATGTTTCAGCCCTGTTTGTGTTACAGCTCTTTTAGCCTCATTTGGCAAGTCCCAAGTTCTTGTCCCTTGACCAGAAAGAATAAGGTATACAAACAAGTGGAGGGTGAGCAAAATGAAGAGGAGCTATATTGAGCAATGAAACAGCTCTGAGGAGACTGGCAGTGGGCAGCTTCTCTCCCTAGCCAGGGTGTCCCAACAAGTGTTCAACTCTCAGGAGAAAGGGTAGCTCATCTCTGCAGCTGGTCCTCTAGTCATCTCCCCATTGTCTCCCCATCCTCTGCTTGAGTCTGGCTGAGTCTGGAGGATTTTATGGGCCTCAGAGGGGAGGAAGTGCATGCTGATTTGTCCATGGGCAGCCATGGGTGGGCACAGGGAAAAGCACCATAAGATCCCCCTCTGGTCCACCAGACTGATGGCCTGGCTCCCAGGCTTCAGGTCCTCCCTGCTTGAAGGTGGGGCCTCTCTGGAGACCAGCCCATTCTGCCCAGGAGCCTGTCTGCCTCCACTATGGTTCACAGCACCCAGGCTGTTCATGGCATCCAGGCTGTTCATGCTAAGGGGCGCCTGAAGGCCAGTGTGGGGCTGTCCCCAGGGCCCCCTTTGCCTCCCTCCCGTGCTTATTGGTGCCCGAAGTCCACAGGGGCTGAGGTGGCAGGGGGCTTGCATGTCAGTGCTGCCCCGAGTGTGTGAACGCAGCTGGGCTGCAAAAGTGTGCAGGCTCATCCCCCAACTTTGCTCAGAGATTGGGAGAGGCACCAACAGCTGGGCCAGGCCATGGGAGCAGCCACTTCTGAGCCTGTGGAAGGCAGGGGGTCTTCCCAGACCCCGAAGAGCACAGAGATGCCTGGGTCTGGAGCCGTGGCAGGGCACCTGCAGCAGCACCCAGGGAGTTCCCACCCCACCAACTAGAAAGGGGCAGGGCTCCCACTTGTCCCCTGCTCTGCCAGCTCCCTGGAGTGACCTCGCCACACCTCTTTGCAGCCTGGGGCGGGAGCCTGGCAACTGGGGGAAGGATGACGTTGCTGTGAGTTCTTTCTGTGTCCCCGGGCTCAGGGGAGGCCTGAGGTTCCTCCTCACCCAGCTGGCAACTCTGCCTGGGTGTGCCTCTGGGAGCGCCTCTGGGAGCCCATCATGAGCACCAGTCCGGCCTTCGGGAGCTTCAGGCTCGGCAGTCACCCCAATGTGGGGCCGACCCTGAGGACGTGGCCCTGGGTGGCCCCGCCAGGGCTTTCTCCCAAGGTGCATGACTGGTTTGTGGGCACGGTGGCTGGCTGCTCCCTGGTTCCTGTAGTGGGAGCCCCTCCCACTTCCCACCCCGGGCCCCTGAAGCATGGCCCCAGCTCCGCCCCCCGCCGGCCCCCACACTCCCCGTGGAAGCGTGGCACCACTCCAGGCCCAGCTCTCCCTCAGGGCCCCTCTCTGCCTGCCCCTTCCGTACCCGACTGCTCTGCTCCCCCACCAGCTGGAGACTCAGCCCGGCCCCATCACGGCGGCCCGCAGGACGGGGGGCTCCGGGGACTGTCCACCTCCTCCCCATGCTCTCCCTGCAGCCGCAGCGGGTGACAGCAGTGACGTAGGGCCACAGTCTAGAGCAGTGGAGGCTCCGGGCCTGGGAGTGGTCCAGCCTGGCTCCGTGAGGGTGGGGGTGGCACAGTCGGCTGCCCCAGGACTCGAGGCACAGGGGACTCGAGTCACAGCGGTCCCACCTATGGTGGCAACCACATTACTTTGAAAGAGAAAAAGTAGTATCCCTCCTCTAAGGTTGCTAAGCTAGGATGATGTGAGCCTGGGTCAATGGCAGGCCATTTCTCAACAAACTCATCACATTCCCCATGAAAGAAATAACTTCATAGCAAGTGGGAATGAAAGCAATAGAAAGAGAGAGATGTGGGGCTTTGAAATGGGTGGAGATAAATATTGACACCAAGGAGGGAGGGAGTGAGGGAGGAAAGAAGAAAATGAAAGAGCAAAAGTGAGTCTAACATTGTTGAGGCTCTGAAGATTCTAAACCCATATTGTGGATTTTCTGATTATATATGATTCAAGAACTTCCCAGTTTCTGAAGTCCAGAGAATTAACAGAGATCAGCATAAAAGTGGAGGAAGGGCCAGGTGTGCACTGGCTCACACCTGTAATCCCAGCACTTTGGGAGGCCGAGGCAGGTGGATCATTTGAGGTCAGGAGTTGGAGATCAGCCTGACCAATATGGTGAAACCCCATCTTTATTTAAAAATACAAAAAAAATTAGCTGGGTGTGGTGGCTCATGCCTGTAGTCCCAGCTACCTGGGAGGCTGAGGCAGGACAATTGCTTGAACCCGGGAGGCAGAGATTGCAGTGAGCCTAGATGGCACCACTGCATTCCAGCCTGGGGGACAGAGCAAGACTCCATCTCAAAAAAAAAAAAAAAAAAAAAAAAAAGACAGTGGAGGAAGAAGATTTTTCCTGTTATACCAGAAAATAGCTGGCCCCATGGAGCCTTTATAGGATACGGCCACTAGCACCTCGAGTGCCTCAGCACATTGATAACTGCATCCCTGCAGGGACACATCCAGAGCACGCGACTGTCACAGGTCAGAGCCTGAAAACGGGCATCTGGAAAAACAGATTTAGTAGTAGCAAGATGCAGCAAATGTCATTAAAATTGCTACGGTCTGAATGTTTGTGTCACCCCCAAGTTCATATATTGAAACCTAATCCCCAATGCAATAGTTTTAAGAGATGGGGACTTTTAAATCATGTGGATAGAGTGCTCATTAATAGGATGAATGCCCTTATAAAAGAGGCCTGAGAGAGCTTGTTTGCCCCTTCTTCCACATGAAGACACAGAGAGAAAGCACCATCTAGGAACTAGGAAATGAACCCTCACTAGACACCAAATCTGCTATAACTTTGATCTTGGACTTCCTAGCCTCCAGAACTATGAGAAACAAATTTCATTGCTTGCAATTACTCAATCTTACCCAGTCTAAAGCATGTTGCAATAGCAGCCTGAGTATTCTAAGACAGAAATAGTAAAAAGAAGCTTTGAAAGAAGTTGGGGTGGGGGTGAGAGTGTTTTGACATATATAATAGCACCCTTGATGCTGACCAGACATGGCAATTCTCACAAAGTATATAATCATTGATGTACCCAGTTGTAGACATATTAAAACAGGGGTGGGCAGAGTATAGAAAAGGAGAGGAAAAAAATTAATGGATGTCATATGGAAGCATAAGTGAGACACCCTCTGAGGCCTCCTACAAATAGATCCAAATAGGAGCAGGTCTTTGAAAGGAAAGCAGTCTTTTTGGTGGTTATAACTGTAATTGGGACTCTGTTTTGTTTGTTTGTTTGTTTGTTTGTTTTGAGACAGAGTCTCACTCTGTCGCCCAGGCTGGAGTCCAGTGGCGCGATCTCGGCTCACTGCAAGCTCCGTCTCCCGGGTTCACGCCATTCTCCTGCCTCAGCCTCCCAAGTAGCTGGGACTACAGGCACCCGCCACCACACCCGGCTAATTTTTTTTTTTGTATTTTTAGTAGAGACGGGGTTTCACCATGTTAGCCAGGATGATCTTGATCTCCTGACCTCGTGATCTGCCCGCCTCGGCCTCCCAAAGTGCTGGGATTACAGGCGTGAGCCACCGCGCCCGGCCTGGGACTCTGCTTTGACTCTCAGACGAAAAGATCTGAGAAAAATGAATTACACAAAGCTTCACATTCCCAACTGGCAAAAAACAAAAAAGTAACCATGCCCATGATAAAAGGAAGAATAAGGTGCTTTTCTTGAGTCATTTTGAGAGGCAAGAATCACTGAGCAAATAAGATTGACACAGGCATGTCAATAGTACTAAAAACAGGTACTGACTAAGATTGCATCCTCGGGAGGATCATCTAAAACTGAGCTGAGCCAAGGTCAGGATCAGAGCCAACACCTAGAGGAAGCAGGGCAATCAGACTGTGAGGACTGATCCAAGGATAGCGCTCACAGGGGCTGGCAGAAGAAGCAAAGACAAATTTATTGCAGCAGGGCCTCTTTCAATTCCTTGAATGGAAGACTGAATTCACATAGTGTAAGGGCAAGAATATCTCAATCCAGAATCTGGGACACAAGTTTATTTCCAAGACCTCTTACAGAGGAAGAAGGTATTTGACTTGAGAACTAAGACACCCTTATAATCTCACCTTTCCAGTCTACTACTTAAGCTATAAAGTAAGAATATTGCTATATTTGTCTTTAAGGATAAAATGAGATGGGATGAAAGCACCATGAAAAGCTAAATGCATCAAAAATATGGAAATCATTGTAATGAGCAAAGCGTGGCAATGCCCTGTAGCCAAACTTGGCTGGACGCCGTCTCCCTCACCTTTCCATCTCTTTCCTCTCTTCTCTTGGTCTATGCTAACTCCATTTAACATAGAAAGGAATCCCATTCCTTTCTCAAATCACACAGGCCATACATATTGGCACACACACACACACCCTGGTATGTCATGGATGATGCTTGTCTTACCAAATCTGCACTAGTCTAGGAGTAGCTGCTGGTGGCTGATGTCTGTTCTGATTGACAGTGTCTTGCAGTACCAGTGATGAAAGATTTTGAAGGTCATCCCTGTTTGCCTGCATAGTGGTTTCTTTTTGCACAATTTTATATATTTTTTAAATTTTACTTGGGAGAGATGGACTATTGAATTTGCCCCTGTTCTCAATATACTCCCTGCCCTCCCACAAGGCCTTTTTGACTGGAGTTGAGGAGCATTTTACTGCTCAACTTGCACTAGGATATTTTAAAGAGAACAAATCTCTAAATAAATAATGGGGCTGCAAATAGACATGATATGATTTTACACTTTACTAATTGTAGACAAGAGACTGGGCGTGGTGGCTCACACCTGTAATCCCAGCACTTTGGGAGGCCGAGGTGGGCAGATCATCTGAAGTCAGGAGTTCGAGACCAGCCTGGCCAACATGGTGAAACCCCATCTCTATTAAAAATACAAAAATTAGCCAGGCGTGATGGTGTGCATCTGTAATCCCAGCTACTTAGGAGGCTGAGGCAGGAGAACTGCTTGAACCCGATAGTTGGAGGTTGCAGTGAGCCAAGATCGCGCCACTGCACTCCAGCCTGGGTGACAGAACGAGACTCCATCTCAAAAAAAAAAAAAAAAAAAAAAAGGAATTGTAAACAGGCATGTAGGCAGTCAACAGGAGTGCATTTAGAGAGTCTAGTCACTGGTGAGCAATATTTTCACCCCCTCCTCCTCCTGCCCCCTGGCTGCCCTTTAAGTGGAAGTGAAAGTTCCTAAGAAATTTATTGTTTAACATTTATAGGAAATTGCTCTTCTCATGTTACTATATGAACTTTGGTGAGAGGTAAGGATGAGAATTTTCTATCTCTGCCAACAGTTAATGTTGATAAAGGTTTTAATTTGAGGAGTTTTGCTAATTAAGTCATTAACTGATGTGAGAAAACTCTTAATGAGACAAATATTTTGGATGAGGGAATTCCACAGCATTTTACAATGCTTTTATTTAGAGCAGAAGTGGGAAACATGTTTCCGTTTACAACCACCATCATATTCAATACAGTAAAATAGATGCGGGTCATAACAGCAAGTGCCCCCATGTTGTCATGAAAAAGATGCTGGTGCCAAAGAGCCAATTAGTTGCAGCCCTTACTCTTTAAATAACCACCAGACATCATTTTCCGTCTGAAACCTCCTTATTCTGAAATATAAATGAGTAACTGATGAGCCAGTGAAGGAGAGAGATTTCCATCCTTCCAGAAATTCAGGTGTAAATGAATGGGGCTTCGGCTGGTGAAACCTACTCACAGGGAAAACATTAACATTTTAACAAAAGTGTAGGTAACTTTATTTTATTTTGGAGAGAAATGGAGTTAACAGTGAGGCATGTTGGATTTGAAAAACTGGTGATAATAGAAAGAAAAATATAATACATCAATACAGAATTTCTGCCTGCAAGAAGACTGAAAAAAAAGGGAAAAAGGCTTTTTCCTTCTCCCAACATCTGCCTCCAGGCTGAGAACAAATTATCTGTAACCATCAGAAAAGGGGCGGCTTTCTCTCTAATGTCAGTCAAGATGTGAGGATGAAAGAGACGGATGGAGCTGGAAACCATCATTCTCAGCAAACTATCACAAGGACAAAAAACCAAACACCGCACGTTCTCACTCATAGGTGGGAACTGAACAGTGAGAACACTTGGACACAGGAAGGGGAACATCACACACCGGGGCCTGTAGTGGGGTGGGGAGAGTGGGGAGGGATAACATTAGGAGATATACCTAATGTAAATGACGAGTTAATGGGTGCAGCACACCAACATGGCACATGTATCCATATGTAACGAACCTGCACGTTGTTCACATGTACCCTAGAACTTAAAGTATAATAAAAAAAAAACATATATATATATATATATATATATATATATAAAAGAGCACATCCAAGGGGCATCACTGAGGAGAGTTTTAATGAAGGGGCTACGTCAAAACTATGTGAAGGTCGATGAAAACCAACAAGGGGTTTATTGTACCTTGTAGGGCTATTGCCACCCTTAGACCCAAGGGACAAGCAGAGGGAGCCCACAGAGGAGCTCAGAGGGCACTTGAGGTTGGAGAAAGGGCCAGCTGATGGGAGTATGACCTTTGATGAAGATGTGCACTCGCTCAGGGTATCCTGGCAGAGAGGGATCCAGAAAATGCACTTGACCTTGCCTTTCTACCACTCTCTGACCTCTTCTCAGTGCTTCCAATGGTCCAACTCTAAAAGAAACCAGAGAACAAGGAACCTATTGATGCAGCACAAATGAATCAGCCTCCCAGGAACAAAACAAACTCAAGAAAGGCAGAGTGCATGCAGGGAGGTAAGCTGAAAACCTCCAGCACAAGTCTATGGGGTGCTTGATGCTTTCTAAGGTTGCAGTAATATATGCAACAGATGTACGCTTTCCCTCTCACTCTCTCTCTACACACACACACGAACACACACACACTGAGTTTTACCCTCTCCCCTAATTCTGCTATCCGTGCCTCTATTTATTCTGAAACTAATACTGTCTCCCAAACAGCTAAGGAAAAGAAAGGCAGAGGGAGAGTTCTTTAACCACAATTAAATTAAGTCTGAAATCACTTTGTATGTGTGTGTGTGTATTTATATATTCATATGGAAAATCACTCAATCAGTAATCAATACACACATAAATTTAAACTAAATGAAAATAAAAACACAAATATCAAACTTTCTGGAATGCAAGTAACCCAGTGCTTACAGGGAAATTGTAGCATAAAATACATATATTAAGGAGGAAGAAAATTCGAGTAGCTAAGCTTCCTCCTTAAAGATTGAGAGGAAATGAGCAAATCAAGCTTTAGAAAAGTAGAAAGAAATGGAATAACAAAGATAAGAGAAGTAATCAGTGAAATAAAAAGCACATGACAGATAAAACTAATACAAACAACAGCTGGTTATTTGAAAAATTAAACAAAATTAATAAAATTCTATTTAGACTGATAAAAAAGAAGGAAGACATGTTTTCCAATATCAGAAATTTAAAGTGATGCAAGGAGATCATCATAGATAGTACAGCTATTAAAGATAATAGAATATTATAAATAACTTTGTATCAATAAATTCAATAGCTTAGAAGAAATGGAACAATGCATTAACAGACACAAATTTCCAAAACTGACTCAACAAGCAAAAGAACATTTGAATAGCCTAATGTCTATTTTTAAAAATTGTATTTGTAATCTAAAAACTTTTCAAAAAAGAAAATTCCAGACCTCTACAGCATCACTGATGAATGCTCTCTAACATTTAAAAAAAGAGATAGAGGGCCAGGCGCGATGGCTCACACCTGTAATCCCAGCACTTTGGGAGGCCGAGGAGGGCAGATCATGAGGTCAAGAGTTTGAGATCAGCCTGGCCAACATGGTGAACCCCATCTGTACTAAGAAAACAAAAATTAGCCAGGTGTGGTGGTGCATGTCTGTAATCCCAGCTACTCAGGAGGCTGAGGCAGGAGAATCACTTGAACCCGGGAGGCGGAGCTTGCAGTGAGCTGAGATTCGCCACTGAACTCCAGCCTGGGCGACAGAGCAAGACTCCATCTCAAAAAAAAAAAAAAAAAGAGAGAGAGAGAAGTAGAATTCACCCTACACAAACTCTTTCAAAAAATAGAGGAGACAATGCTTTCTAGATTTATTTAATGTTACCAAGGCTACCATGGTTATAAAATCAGAGAAAGACATTATTAAAAAAAAAAAAGAAGAAGAAGAAAACCATAGCTCACTCTCCCTCTTGGACATAGACACAAAATTCCCTAGCAAAATATCAACCAATTGAAACCAGCAATTTATAAAAACAACAGCACTGACATTAGAGGCTCTGGAACTCTCAGTGAAGCCAAGGTAATGGGAGAAGGCACAAAAGGAAGCATCATCCCCATGGCACCTACACAGGTCTAGGGCTCAGCTGCTGAGCCCCTGCGAAGATGACAGCGTTGAGTCTCCACTCTGGTCTCTTGCCTCCCACTTCCCCACTCTGCCTATAGATTTCTATGGCAGCAACCGTGTTGATGCACTCAGAAGAGGATTCCACCTCTGTAAAAACATTTACTTTGAGGACATGGCCATGTATTTCTCCCAAGAGGAGGGAAGGTTCCTCAGTGATGGTCAGAGACTCCTATACCATGATGTGATGCTAGAGAACTTTGCACCATGGCCTCACTGGGACTTGCATCTTCTAAGTCTCATGTAGTTGCCCAAGTTGAATACGAGGGAGACCTCATGCTTCAGCCTCAGAGAAAGGGCCTGGGACAGAACCCACTCCTGTGCTCTCAAACACTGGCCTACACTGAATGTCTCTGGAGGTATGCACATATGCCTTTAGCAGTCCTTGGACACCAGCTTGTCAGTTGCAGTCAGATTTTCCTGAGTCTAGGCACCACCTCTGCACTGTGTTCAGCACCCCCACCACTGGTAAAACCCATTTGCAGAGGAGTATGTTGGAGGTCAGCCTCTCCACCTGTGCTACAGCTCAGCCATGTGCCCACTCTCTGGTTGTTGGTATGAAACAGAGGCTTAGGAGGCACTTCAGCAGAGGAATTCTGTGGAAGGAGAGTCACAGTGAGTCCCAAGCCCAGCTCATCCACCCAGAAGGCCCGCTGTGTGAAATGTGGGAGAGGGTCTTGAAAGATATTTGACCCGTGTGCCAGGGAAGGCATCCCGGAAATGGTACACCTATGGGGCATGAGGAAGATGGTTATGAGTCACTGCAAGCCTTCACCAGCATCAGGAGTGGTACAGTGGGGAGAAACCCTCAAGAAATTTTAAAAACATCTGCTCTTCTAAAGATACCATGGAGATAAAAAGCAAGCTACATACTGGGAAAATTATTCTTAATGCAGATATCTGATCCTAAATGTGGATCCAGAATATATAAAGAGCTCATAAAACTCAATAGCAAAAAATAATAATAATAATTTATTTAACAAAGGGCAAAATATTAGAAGACACTTCCCAGAAAGGTATGTAGAAATAAGAAACAGGCACATGAAAATATGCTGAATATCATTCGTCATGAGGCGAATACCATTTTTCTCATCATGGAATCTTTCACTCACGAAATATTCATAAGGCATCTATTATGTTCCAAACACTCTAGGCACTGAGAAATGATAAAAAAGATAAATGACTCCTCTCATACCATACACAAAAATTAACTTAAAATAAATAATAGGTTTAAATGAAAAGGCTACAACTATAAAACTTAGAAAAAAGCATAAGAGTAAATCTTCATGCCCTTGGGTTAAGCAAAGCCTTCTTATATATGACACCAAAAGCACAAGTGACAAAATAAAAAGTAGATAAATTTAACTTCATCAAAGTGAAAAATTGTTGTGCTTCAAAGAACATCATCAAGAAAGAGAAAACAACCTACAGGATGGGAGAACATTTTCACAATCTATCCATCTGACTAAGGTCTAGTATCCAGAGTTGACAAATAACTTAAACAAATTTACAAGAAAAAAACAAACAACCCCATTAAAAACTAGGCAAAGCACATGAACAGACACTTCTCAAAAGAAGACATTCATGCAGCCAAAAAAAATATGAAAAAAAAGCTCAACAACACTAATTATTAGAGAACTGCAAATCGAAACCAAAATGAGATACCATCTTACACCAGTCAGAATGGCAATTATTAAGAAGTCAAGAAGCAACAGATGCTGGTGAGGTGGCAGAGAAAAAGGAACACTTGCACACTGTTGGTGGGAGTGTAAATTAATTCAACCATTGTGGAAGATCTAGAAGCAGAAATACCATTTGACCCAGCAATCCCATTACTGGGTATATATCCAACGGAATATAAATTATTCTAATACAAAGATACATGCATGCATATGTTCATTGCAGCATTAGTCACAATAGCAAAGACATGGAATCAACCCAAATGCCCATCAATGATAGAAAAGAAAATGTGGTACATATACACCATGGAATACTATGCAGCTATAAAAAGGAATGAGATCATATCCTTTGCAGAGACATGGATGGAGCTGGAAGTCATTATCCTCAGCAAACTAACACAGGAACAGAAAACTAGACACCACACGTTCTCACTTATAAGTGGGAGCTGAACAATGGGAACCCATGGACACGTGGTGGGGAACAACACACACTGGGACCTGTCAGGGGGCAGGGGGAGGGAGAGTATCAGGAAGAATAGCCAATGGATGCTGGGCTTAATACACAGATGGGTTGATCTGTGCCACAAACCACCATGGCACACGTTTACCTATGTAACAAACCTGCATATCCTGCACATGTACCCAAGAACTTAAAATAAAAGTTGAAGAAAAAAAGAAAAGAAAAGAAACTTCACAAAATGGGAGAATATATTTCCAAATTATAAGTCTGGCAAATGACTTGTATCTTGATATATAAAGAATTCTTATAACATATAAATTGGAAAATCTAATTTAAAAATGTACAAAGGATCTGACAGATATTTCTGCAAAGAAAATATACAAATGGCTAATAAGCACATGATGAAATGCTCAATCTCATTAACCATCAGAGAAATGCAAGTTAAAACTACAATAGGATACTCCTTCACACACTTGAGGATGGCTATAATAAAAAAGACAGATAATAATAAGTGTTGGTAAGGAGGCAGGGAAATTGCAACATGGTGCAGCCACTTTCTAAAGCAATCTGGCAGATCCTTAAAGGGTTAAATATGGAGTTGCTATATGACCCAGCAGTTTCACTCTTAGGTGTATACCCAAGGGAAATGAAAGCATATGTCAACACAAAAACTTGTACATGAAAGTTCATAGCACATTATTCATAACAGCCAAAAAGTGGAAATAATCCAAATGTCATTGACTGATTATTGAATAAATAAAGTGTGATACAGTCATGCAGTGGAATGAAGTACAATCAGCTCTCCCTTTCTGTGGGTTCCACATCCACAGATTCAACCAAATGCAGATTGAAAATATTTTAAAAAACAATAAAAAATAGCAACCAACAATAAATATAATACAAATTTTAAAAATACGATATAACTATTTACATAGCATTTACACTTTATTAGGCATTATAAGTAATCTAGAGATGACTTAAAGTATATAGGAGAATAGGAGGATGTGCATAGGTTATATGCAAATATTATACCATTTTATATAACAGGCTTGAGCATCTGTGGATTTGGGTATCCACAAGGTGTCCTAGAACCAATCCCCCACAGATACCTAGGGACCAGGGATGACTGTACTGATATCATGTTAGGATGTTGAAACATTGTACTAAATAAAAGAAGCCAGACACAGAAGACCCCATATTGTGTATTCCATTTATGTGAGATATCCAGAATAGGCCAATCTAAAGAGACAGTAAGTAGATGAAGAGTTGGTTAGAAATTAGGGAAAGGGGTTGGAAGAATGAGGAGAGAGGGCTGATGTGTGAGTTTTCTTCTGGAATGATGAAAATGTTCTAAAATTCATTGTGGTGATGGTTGCACAACTCTGAATATACCAAAGACCATCTAAGTGTCCACTTTAAATGGATGAATTGTATGATATGTGAATTATATCTCAATAAAGCTGTTACATTTTTTAGAAGATACAGGAGGTCCTTCTTCATAATAGGACTTCATAACTAAAATGTCTGAATGTAGTGGGATTGGAATGGAGAAAACAAAAAGCAAACAAATAAGTATTCCATGAAATTTTGGATAGTGATAAATACCACTGAGACAACAGAGCAGGGTGATGCCATAGCACTGACTGCAGAAAGGTGTAATTTAAAGTGGATGGTCAGGAAGTACCTCTTAAGGCAGGAGTGGTGTGATAAAACGGGGAAGCCCTACAAATATCTAGGTTCAATGACTGCAGATTCACAAAGCCCACTTCATTACAACTCTTCAGAAAAATATGACGTCCCTATTGACACAATGTACATAATTGAAACTCAATGTGGGTAAGAGAAATGAAAATCTGGGACTATGATTACTAATTCCCTGAGCCACTTACATATTCAGTTAGTGGGTGAGAGATGGTATAACTAATTCTAAATAGTAGATAATCTCAGACTTTAGAAAGAAGCTGAAAGGCACCCCCTCCCAACATACACACAAAAAGCACCTACCATTCTCACACAGAAGTCACTTTCCCTTTGGTTCTGTCTCTGTGGCAGGCTGCCAAAGCCCCCCATTGAATGATGATGGTGGTGGGAAATGTTATAAATATTTCACAAAATAAAATTCATGTCATGGCTGCCACAGTGGTGTAAGGTCCAGGGAGCATATGCGTCAAGCTTAGTCACAGGCAGCTCTGCCAGTGTTGGGAATATGGTATTGACAGAGATGAGTGATGTGGATGCCAAAATGATGAAATTTATTTATGCACGCTTGGTCAAAATATAATTAAAAAGAATTGATCTATTTCAGCAAAGCCCAGTTTCAAGCGGATCTGCCCCCACTTGGAATCTCAGCATCACATGCTGCTGACACAGCCCTTGACCTGGAGCGGCGCTGAGCACAGATGGCTCCAGAATGCAGAAGCCATGGAAAGTTAGGGAAATGGCTCTGGGAAGTCCAGCCTGCATGCAGAAAGCCAGGTTCTCATAGAGGAGTTTTATCTTTAATTTATACTTCATGTCCTAGTTCTGACTTCATGGCCCAGGACACAATGTTGTTAGAGACAGAGTAATACCTTATGCTTTCTTTGAAGCTCAGTTTATCTATGAATTGGCTAAAATAATTTATTCACTGACATGCTCTCAAAAAATTAAAAAAATAGTTTACAAACAGAATTTAAAAGATATGAGATTGTGTTGAAACAGAGAACCACAGGATTTTAGGCCAAGCTTCATAGATTCCTTTGAAGAAAGGCGTTTAATGTGCTATGCTTCATTACTTTCAAATTGTCCCTTGTCACAGGCATAGAAAACAATTCACCTGTGTGCCCTACTACATTCATGAAGATAAAGAGGTACTATTCAAGGAAATGTTTAGAATAAAAATGTGTGGGCCAGGCATGGTGGCTCACGCCTGTAATCCCAGCACTTTGGGAGGCCGAGGCGGGTGGATCACCTGAGGTCAGGAGTTCGAGACCAGCCTGGCCAACATAGTGAAACCACGTCTCCACTAAAAATAAAAAAAAAAATTAGCCGCGTGTGATGGTACGTGCCTGTAATCCCAGCTACTTGGGAGGCTGAGGCAGGACAATCTCTTGAACCTGGGAGGTGGAGATTGCAGTGAGCTAAGACTGTGTCATTGCACTCCAGCCTGGGCAACATGAGCAAAACTCCATCCAAAAAAAAAAAGAAAGAAAGAATAAAAATGTGTGTATGCTACTTTTATTGAACTGAGTGCTGCTTTCAGCAAGATCTAATATAATAATCTACATTTTCAAAATATGTGTATTGAGGATGATGATTATTGTAGGACAGGAGTGGGACCTGGAGGGGAAATAGAAATGAAGGCATGTTGATGCCTAAATATTTGAAAATGATTAGTGAAGCTCTTAAACCATTAAGTGCAATATGTTCTACCCTGACATAGTGTCATGGAAGGCTAGATTTAAATGTAAAATTTTTGGACCAATGGAGTCTTGCACCAGAATGTGAAGAGACATGACCCCTGGCCCACCTTCCTTCTACACTGTCCAGAATCAGAGGGCCCTCACACCCTTGTGTGGTAGCACAGCTCATTTGTCCAAGCTCTGGTCCCAATAAAAGCTGCCTCTTGGCTACTCTTCAAACACTTGGATGGAAGGGCCTAGAGAGAGTCCTGTGTAGGTTGAAGGAGTGCACCTGGATTGGTGGCAGGGAATTCCAGCACTCTGGTTCCTGGAGTGTGGCCTCGAGGGGGACAGCAGCCACTGGGGTTGTGTCCTTGGCTCTGCTGACTCCTGGACCCATGGAGAGGAGTTCTCGCTGGAGGATAGCCGGAGTGGGACCCTTTCAAGCATAAGTACTGGGGTGGTAGCCTCTCATACCCAGGTCTAAGGCAGGACTGTTCACCTGCAAAGGATCAACTTTTTAAGGAAATTTCCCCAATGTTTTCTTAAAATAGAACATTTTTTGGCTGTGCGCCATGGTTCATGCCTGTAATCCCAGCACTTTTGGAGGTCGAGGCAAGGGGAATCGCTTTAGCCCAGGAACTCTAAATCAACCTGGGCAGCACAGGGAGACAGGTCTCCACACACGAAAAATTTTTTTTAATTAGCCAGGTGTGGTGACACATGCCTGTATTCTCATCTACTAAGGGAGGCTGAGGCAGGAGGATCCCTTGAGCCCAGGAGGTTGAGGCTACAGTGAACTGTGATCATGCCAGTGCACTCCAGCCTGGGCAACATAGTGAGATCCTGTCTTAAAAACAAAAACCAAAAAAAAGAGAGATTTGTATTGAATTTAAAAGACTTCAATTTTTTAAAAAAGAGAAAACACAGGTAATATGTGTCGTCAGTATGCTCAGTGCATAAAGGAATTTTCACATAGTGTAGGCTTTTATGTTTATAAGCTAATGCTTGATGACTTCATTTGGACAATTTAGTCTAAAGCACTGTTACATTGATCAGGCAGAAATCAGGTTTGTGTATGAATTATAAAGATAACTGATCTTGTTTTCTTTGCTTTGGAAGACCTGACCAATTAGTGTTGAGATTAGAATTCTGTAGAAATCTTCCTGTCTGAAAGGCCATCTGTTGGTGTTTGTTAAATTTATTCCCATATAGCTAAAAGAGAAGTTATTTCTAATTGCTATGCAGAAACAGCCACTGCCTAAAAGCTGACTACGTCTCTTAAGAATATATAGTCCTTACCTCGCTGGGCCCTAAGCCTGGAGAATATGGCAAATGTATGGAAAAGAATTTTTTATTCAAGTCGTTCACCCAAAGCATTAACAATCTCCTTTAATCCATGAGCACCAATGAGATTCCACAACCTTACTCTTCATTAAGGTGGCTCAGTAGAACTGGGCTGTCCTGGATGACCCATAGTCCTCTTAGCCTTGTCCAGGAGCAATTACTCAGTGTCCTTAACCCTTGCTTTGCTTTCAGTTGGCTGTGACTTGCGTGTGTACTTGTGTCTCTTGCAATTCAGATCAGTGATGTCGCAGAAAAGGACAATCTACAAAAGAAATAGTACTGTTTACAGTCATCAAAACAACTCAACTTACAGCAATTTTATTTGGCTAAAAAATGTGTATTGCACTTCTCCTTCCATTCTATTTTTCCTTGAAAGCCTTTCTATCTTCTTCAACTGAGACTTTCCTAGGATAAAGAGAATACAATCATCCTATGTGGCAGATATTCTGGCTAGCTATCCAATTTCCACATACTTTCTAAGAGAAAAGAGAACCATATTTTATTGGGGGTGTCAATGTGCTGAACTAAAAATACTTATTTGCTCAGATCTCCTTCCAGCTAGGGTTTGCCATGGGGCACAGTTTGGGTCCATAAGGTATGGGCAGATTTACCTGGAGAGCGTGTTCTTTCCTGAGTAATATTTGATTTGGAGAAAGCCCATTGGCCTTTAACTTTCACCTTTATTTCTGCGAGGAATCTGAATGTAAAGCATTTATCTTGCAATTAGGAGGACAAAAGCCACATGTTAGGAAGAGCAGAGTAGAAGCTGGAAAGAACCTGTGCCTTTGATTGCAAACTTGAGGAGCTGCTGTAGTAGCCTAAACTTCCTACAACCAGACTTTTAACCATAACAATCTAATGCTGACAGACTTGCTGTTAATCACAGCCAAGTGCATTCCTAATTCATACGTCCTTCCTGAATCAAAAGCCTATTTGGCGCCAAATAAACACAGAGTCCTGCCAAAAGAGCAAAACAGAAGAGAAAATTCTACTATAGACCTGGTGTATTATTCAAGAGTTGAAATGGTGTACAGGGAGGTTTTTTGTTTGTTTGTTTATTTGTTTGTTTGAGATGGAGTCTCCCTCTGTCGCCCAAGCTGGAGTGCAGTGGTGCGATTTTGGCTCATTGCAACCTCTACTTCCCAGGTTCAAGCGATTCTCCTGCCTCAGCCTCCCGCGTAGCTGGGACTACAGGCACATGCCACCATGCCCAGCTAATTTAGGGGAGGTTTTTATGGTCAATGTACTTTACTGTTTTCTAAGTCTTTGAAAATGGGTAATTAAATAACAAAACAAATGACAACTCTTAGTTAAACAGAATGCAACCAGAATGGGGTATCCTTCTTATGTTAAAAAGCAGAATTTATACTGAAGAAAAATATAACCTCACAATGATACATTTGAAGGAATAGTTACATCTCTATATGAATCACAGAAAGTATCTGGACTTTTGGAAATGAACTGCGTTATACTTTTCTTCTTTTTTTCTTTTTAATTTTGCCACACCTCACCTGGGTGCTATATACTTTTCTATAGCTCAGAAATTGTTAGCAAATAACTTGGTTTATCAGGTTGAATCTGCTCACCACAATACAAATAACATTCAGAGTTTGGAGAGAGTTGGTACCTTTAATAAAGAAAATGAATATATCTTTTTAAATCGGTCTTAATTGCTACTGGCAGACAATGGGGGGAAAGGCAGCTAACACAAGAACACAAAAGAAGCCTATGGGAGGAGAAACAGGGAGGGTATGAAGATTCAGAGCTTTGGGGACCCAGGTTCCTTCTGCCTTTCTGTTTCATTCTTCTTAGCTTATCTTCTGTTCTCAGTATCCTTCTGAAACTTGGGAGCTAGTGTTGCAGTCATGTCAGTTGCCCCGAGTTAAGTTAGGGTTTTCTAAGGAAGAAGGGAAATAGGTACATTGGGTAGACCAGCCGCAGTCTCTTCACTTCTTGGATTTTTAGTGCCTTTGGGCATTGTTCTCTGTGGCTTCTCATTTGCCCTCTGTGAGGTCCTTCCTCAGCATAACCCTCTTCCACTTTCCTCCGTGTCTGTATCCAAGGCAGGCATTGGAGAGTACTCTCTTCTTGAGGCTTCAAGATTTGCAGCACATTTTGTGCAAGGGGAGGAGAGGTAGGGGCAGGGCAAATTCATTGCTTTGGTTATCGACAGACTATTAATGCATTAATAGATAAGAGAAACCCAAAGCAAAGTGTTTTTTCTTTTTTTATACACACTCCTGACACCAAATATAGGCTATAGGAAAAATTGAACTACGTTTTTCTAGTCCACACTCTCACATAGTCACTCAATACCACTTGTGACACCAAATGTATGGGGGGTTTTCCCTACACACCGGAAAAAAAAATCCTGCAGATTCTGTAGTGGATTCTGCAGTAGACACAAGCTGGGTGTCCTCTAATTCAATTCAATTCTGACTCTATCTTCCTGGAGATGGCATCAGATCCCACAGGTCAGAGGCTCAGTCCCACAAGAATGCTCCCTACTTAGACTCAGTCACAAGTACTAGGTTGTCAACTACTCTTCTGCCTGGCTATGAATCAAGGTTCCAATAACTCCCTCCTGGAATTTGATGAATTTGTTAGAGTGACTCACATAACTCAGGGAAACACACTTATCAGCTTATTACAAAGAATGTTACAAAGGGTACAGATGACAAGATGCACAAGGTAACGTATGGAGAAAGGGGCACAGAGCTTCCATGCCCGCCTTGGGTACACCACCTTCCAAAACTCTCCCTGTGTTCTGCTACCTAGAAGCTCCTGAACCTTGTCTTTTGGAGTTTTTATAGAGAATTCATTACACAGATGAGACAGAGTACATACAAGACTTGCCTCCCACCCACTGCACCCCACCAAGGACCCCTAATGTAAGCTGGTGGGGAGGGGAGCCATGGTCAGCAAGGACCATCCAGATCTTGCACCATTAATCTTGCTCAACGTGCCATGCTCACTGATCAAGGGGCCTTAAGGAGACTAAGATAAGAAATGGCCCACCATAAGTCTTACTCAAGGTGCCATACTCACTGACTGTGGGACCTCGAGGAAATTTAAACAAGCAGCTCCCACTTTAAAACTTACTCAAGGGCATTAGCCCTATCTCCTGCATGCGTACAAGACCAGAAGAATGACCAATCCTTTACCTTAGCTTCATTATAACACTAAAAAATCACATCCAGGGGTGGAGATTTAACATGTGAATGAGATATGCAATGCATGAAGAAGCATATTATCAAACTGTGCAGGTGCCGGAAGTTTCCAGCCTCTACATGCTTAAACATCACTCCCAGCCCACTTTAGCTCCTTTAAAATTACTCTCCGTACTCTCTTCAGGGAGCCAGCCAGATAATTATCTCGCTTGTGCTGCCTCCCTTGTATTCAAACATAAGACCCAATAAAAGCCTTGTCTGGGAAACTTGCTAGACCTCATGTCAGTTTCTATAACACAACAGCCAAGAACCTGTGGTCAGTTACATAGCCATGAATGATTAATGACCAGTGATTATCATTGGTCATCAGTGATCAACTTAATCTTCAGCCCCTCTTCCTGCTCTGGAGGTTAGGGGTGAGAATGAAAGTCTCAACCTTCTAATCCTGAAGCTGACTAGGGGCACCTAGTTATTTCATTAGCATTCAAAAGACATTCTTATTACTCCTGAGATTCCAAGGGTTTTAGGATCTATATGTCAAGAAACTGGGATGAAGAACAAATATATACAGACATGCATCTCATATAATAAGGTGGTCCCATAAGATTATAATGCCATATTTTTACTGTACCTTTTCTATGTTTAGATACACAAAGAATTACTATTGTGTTACAGTTGCCTGCAGTATTGAGTACAGTAACATGCTATACAGGTTTGTAGCCTAGGAGCAATAGACTATCTACCATATAGCCTGGTGTGTAGTAGGCTATGCAATCTAGGTTTGAGTAAGTACACTCTATGATGTTCACACAACGCTAAAATCACTCAATGATGCATTTCTCAGAATGTATCCCTGTCATTAAGCAACATTTGACTGTGTTTCACAGTGTCACAAGATAGACTGGGGTTTCTTTGGAAATACTGTTTCCTCAAAAACTGAATCAGCTTCCAGTAATTTTGCTTTCAGTCAAGTTTTTTGCCTAAGTCGTCACAGTGAAAAGCTTTGCCTAGAAACATTTTAAATAATAGAGCTGGTTATTTTAATATATACCAAACTATTCTGATTTACTATTTATTTTTTCTTTCCATTTTGTTAAGGTATGTCTTTTGAGAATCGATGCTGCCCTCCCACCCAAAAACAAATAACAATCATGACTCAGGCTCCAAGGGGAATTTAAATTCTGCTGGCCAAAAAAGGTTGAAGCAACCATCCATCGCCAAAGTAAGTAGGGAAGGCTGGCAGGGAGATTCCAGAGGAAAAACAAAATAATCCAAAAGTGCTCAGAAAAAAAATGCAATGGAGTAAAAGCATTATAGACAACAGAAATTTAAGCCAGTTTCCTTCAGAACATGGAGAGCTGCAAAACCTTCTAAAAAGGTTGCTTGTGATTGACAGAATAATAGGCCCCCCGAAGAGATCCATGTCTTAATCCCTAGAACCTGTGAATATGTACGTTGCATGGAAAAGAGGAGTTCAGGTTGCAGGTGGAATTACATTTGCTAATCAACTGGCCTTGAGCTGGAGAGATGATTTTGTAAAATGCTGGTGGGCACATTGTAATTTCAAAGTTCTTAAATGGTGAAGAGAGAGGCAGAAGTGTCAGAAACAGAGATGGCATCATGAAAATGACCTTATGGGCCATTGTTTGCTTTGAAGATGAGAGAAAGAACATGAGCCAAGAAATGCAGACAGACACTAGAAGCTGGAAAAGTCAAAGAACAGATTATCCCCCAAGACCCCCCGAGAAAGAAACCTAGAACTGCCTATACCAGCCAGGCATGATGGCTCTCTCTTGTACTTCCCAGCACTTCGGAAGGCGGAGGCAGGAGGATCACTTGAGCCCAGGAGTCTGAGACCAGTCTGGGCAACATAGTGAGATCGTGTCTCTACAAAAAATGAAAAAATTAGCCAGCCATGGTGGTGCACACTTGTAGTCCCAGCTACTTGGAAGGCTGAGGCAAGAGGATCACTTGACCTGGGGAGGTCAAGGCTGAAGTGAGCTGTGATAGCACCACTGCACTCCAGCCTGCGCAACAGAGCCAGACTCTGTCTCGAAATAAAAAAGAAAAAGAGAAAGAAGAAGACAGAGAGATCTACCTACACCTTGATTTTTAGCCCAGTGAGACCCATCTTGGACTTCTGACTTCCAGAACCGTAGATAATAAATTTGTGTTGCTTTAAGCCACGTTTTGTGACTATTTGTTACAGTGGCAAATGGAAACTAATACATTGATCTATAAAGATCAGTTGGGATAATTTTTGACTATTTGCAGATTTAAGGCAAGAAGCAGACTTTCCAGCAGAGGAAGAATGGAATAAAGTAGTGTAGCATGCATCAACAGAAAAAAATATAAGGCTGGGCATGGTGCACATGCCTGTAATCTCAGCACTTTGGGAGGCTGAGGTGGGAGAATCCCTTGGCTGAGGCGTTCTAGACCAGCCCAAGCAACATAGTGAGACCCCATCTCTACAAACGATAAACATAAAAAACACAAATTAGCCAGGTGTGGTGGTGAATGTCTGTAGTCCCAGCTACTCAGGAGGATGAGGTGGAAGGATCACTTGAGCCCAGGAGGAAGAGGTTGCAGTGAGTTGAAATTGCACCATTGCCTTTCTGCCTGGATGACAAAGTGAGACTCTATCTAAAAACCAAACAACCAAACAAATATATATATGTATGTAAGACCAGAGCAGAGGCCACTCTGTAATCCTCATATGTATAGTAGGGCTGCTATCAGATTCTTAAGGGAGTTTGGTGACTTGCATCCTTTAAGGTTTTTAATATGCATGCATAATGTTGATAGCTTTTAATTTTTAAATTATATAATTAATGAATCAATACTGATATATTATTGGGAACCAGTATTCACATTTCCTTGGCTTCTTCCTAATGTCATTTTTTGTTGTTGTTCAATAATCCCATGCAGACAGCACCTTCCATTTAGTTGGCATGACTTTTTAGGATCTTCTTTGTGACAGTTTCTAAGACTTTCCATGTTTTCAATGATCTTGACAGTGTGAAGAACTACTGGCCAGGTATAGTGTAGAATGCCCTGTATTAGAATGTATCTGATATTTTTGTCATGGTTAGTATAGACTCATAGGTGCTTATTTCATACTTTGGGTTATAATCCAATACTACTTTAAGCAGGAGATAAGCTTTAATTGAGAAGAGTTGGCCTGATGCAGTGGCTCACGCCTGTAGTCCCAGCACTTTGGGAGGCCGGGGTGGGTGGATCATGAGGTCAGGAAACCGAGACCATTCTGGCTAACATGGTGAAACCCCGTCTCTACTAAAAATACAAAAAATTAGCCCTGGTGGCAGGCGCCTGTAGTCCCAGCTACTCGGGAGGCTGAGGCAGGAGAATGGCGTGAACTGGGAGGTGGAGCTGGCAGTGAGCTGAGATTGTGCCACTGCACTCCAGCCTGGGTGACAGAGTGAGATTACATCTCAAAAAAAAAAAAAGAAAAACAAAAAGAAAGAAAAGAGTTAGTGAAGCAAGTCCCTTGGAGTGAAAAAGTGTTTTATTTATTTTTGGCTCCAAGTTGTAAATCATTTCCTCTTTTTCTAGCGGAGAAGCCAAAGATACTGCATATTAACCACCCAGGAAACCAAACAAAAAACAAGGCTTCTAAGTAATTGGGTTGAAACACATTTCCAATAAGGCTAAAATTCAACTCTTTGATTATAGAAGGCAGATTTCCTGTGTTGTTTTTCCTCTCCTTCAATGCAAAACAAGAATCAGATTGTTGTTACTGTTGAATTGCTTTATTATTCATCCAAAATGTGAACATGGTTAGACAATTGTGAGAAGTAATAAAATATGGCAGGGACAGAAGGCAATGATTGTTCTTACTGTTAACTATTTTCCAATGTAGCTAAACTTTAATAAACATAATGGGGTGTTAAAAAATAATTTCTCACTTAAAATCTTGTCATTTTCCCCCAACGCTATAATAATCTCAGTATGATTTTTAATATTCATTGCAGTAGTTTGACAGTTGCCTCCCTATAGCAAACATTAAAAGTAAGTTTAAATAGTTTTCTAATATATTTAGAACCAAAGCATAATGAATAATTTTGTTTATACAAATAAAGTGTGTAGCAAGTTACAGATGAGTTAATGAGGAACTAGAAAGAAGATGGTGGCAAATAAGGAGGAGAGATACATGAGAGAGAAATTCAGAGAAGCTGACAGACAGACAAATGTGATTCTAGTTTTCTAAATGGGGAGAATGACCAGATTTCAGGTACTGAAGACTTTTGAGATTGACGTTCATCTCTGGGAACAATTGAGAATAAATTATTAAATAAACAGATTGTGATCCATTAAAAAAAATGGGTTGTTCCTGGAGTCCAATATGGATTTACTAAGAACGAGATATTTAAAATAATGATTTCTTTGTCATTAGGCTTAGGATAGATTAGAGGTATACCAAGGCTACTATACAACTTGAGTTCAGCATACCATTCAACAGAAAGCCCTGTGATATCCCTTTGATTAAGGAGTTGCTGGGAGGGTAGGAGGACAGCCGTTTTCATTAGATGCCTCATGTTAAAGAAAGCTACTGGCAGAGACATTATCCGATGGCTTCTTTTCAACCTGTAAAAGGTCTCTAGCAAAGCATCTCTAGACTCATTGTTTTTTTCTTTTTTTGGGACAGAGTCTTACTCTGTTGCCCAGGCTGGAGTACAGTGGGAAGATCTCAGCTCACTGCAACCTCTGCCTCCCAGGTTCAACCGATTCTCCTGCTTCAGCCTCCCTAGTAGCTGGGATTACAGGTGCCCTCCACCATGCCTGGCTAATTTTTTGTATTTTTAGTAGAGACAGGGTTTCACCATATTGGCCAGGCTGGTCTCAAACTCCTGACCTCAGGTGATTCGCCAGCCTCGGCCTCCCAAAGTTCTGGAATTACAGGCATGAGCCACCGAGCTTGACCTAGACTTACTTCTTGGACCTAGGTCCTTTGCCATTTTTATTTTTGATTGAAGACAAAGCAAAGTCGATAAATGTAGATGTGCCTCATCGTTTGGACGGATATCTCCTACGGTAAACTCTTAATTCAAAAGTCAAAATCATCCTACCAAAGAGATTGAAACCAATGAAAGGATACTCAACAGAAATGAAAACGTAATCTGGCATTTAATATAAAAAAATTAGAATCACAAATACAAAATGAAAGAGATCTGACTTTGCAGCAATACATTTTAAAAGGAATCTGACTTTTTTGGGGCCACAATTTAAAAATGGGTCAATTGTATGAGGTAATTAATTCACCCCCACCTCCCTGTTCCCTGCCCCTCCCTGCCAAAAAAGCCAATATTGTCATCCTCTGTGTCCAAGGGATAGAAAGTAAGATTATAGATCAAAATTCTATGCCCATCTATTGTAACTGTAACATTACCTGTTCCATTTTAATTTCTATATTTTAAGAGAAATATTTGCTCAGTATGATATGCTCAGAGAAGGTGTATTTAGAGATCTAGGAAGCAGAAGTAGTTTGTTTACCCCCAACAAGAGAAAACTGAAGGCAGATAGGATCATTGCCTTCAAATGTTTGGAGAGTTGTCTGGTAAAACAGCAGATTTGTTTGCGGTTAGAAGCAGCATCTACTTTAGAAAGCTAAGAGAAGTGAGGTTTTGTTTCAACATGCGGTAGTAATTAGAATTGCAGAGTGGGGGTAAGGAGGCCAGAGAGGGGATTGCCATGCTAAATGGGAAGCAGGTCTGGGGATTGATTTCTGAATTTTCCCCTATAAAGATATTCAGCATAGCTAAACTAAACTGCTTCTTTACACGCCTGCCTCACTCCTTTCCCACAAAAGAGAAAACAGGTGATCTCTTGCCAGGTCAACATTCCACAGATGGTTACCAGATGCGTACAGGTGCCACGTCCTGTGTGAGCTGCTGGTTTCCTGAGCACAGGGAGCTTATGCTCTTACAGGGGTGAGCTCGGAGTAGAATCCTTCCCCCTAAAAGCAGCTATGTTACTAATGGGAGTAATATCAAAGTCAACTCCCTCCGAGCTCAGAAGACTTTATCAGTGGTTGTTCTCTTAAGACTTCAACTGCAAACCTTCCTTTCTTTCTCTGTTTTTAATTGATATATAATATTGTTACATATTTATGGGGTAATGTGGTATTTTGATACATGCATACAATGTGTAATGATCAAATCAGAGTAATTAGTATTATATAATCCATCACCTCAAATATTTGTCATTTCTTTGTTTTGGGAACATTTTAATTTTTCTCCTCTAGTTATTTTGAAATATGCAATATATTGTTGTTAACTATAATATCAAACAATAGAACTTATTCCTTCTATCTAACTGTATGTTTATACTTATGAACCAATCTTTCTTCATCCCCACTTCTGAAACTGACAAATTGTATCAATCAATTGTATTTTGTATTAGGATACAAAATCAACACACAAAAATCAGTCATGTTTCTATACACCAGTAACGAAGTAGCTGAAAAAGAAATCAAGACAACAATTCCATTTACAATAGCTACAAAAATAAAACACGGCCAGGCACAGTGGCTCATGCCTGTAATCCTAGCACTTTGAGAGTCCCAGGCAAGAGGATTGCTTGAGCTCAGGAGTTCAAGACCAGCCTGGGCAACATAGCAAGACCTCTTCTCTATTAAAAATGAAAATAATTAACCAGGCAAGGTGGTGTATGCCTTTGTCCCAACTACTCAGGAGGCTGAGGTGGGAGTATAGCTTGAGCCTGGAAGATCAAGGCTATGTGAGCCATGATCGCTATTGGGGTATGAAGCAGCTTCCTAAATTTAGCAGTACTAAATTCTGGATACATACGCCTTTAATCTATTCCCTCCTCAAAGAGCATTTTTCCTCTTCTCCACGATTTTTATTCTTAACTACCCATCTTAATTATTTTATCTTCTTGGAAATTATATTTGAAAAGGCTGAAGGGGTATTCCATTTAAAAGTTTTCTGATTTTGTTGTGTGTGTAAAGGATGAGAAACATACACCCTGGAAAATCAACCTCTTTTTCTTCTCCCTCACTTCAGGGCATCTTGGGATTTCAAGATGCACACTGAGAGACTGTATTGGTCTTTCTAGCCTGCCCATCACGTTAATGTTCAGCTCAATACTTTTTTCTCTGTCCAAAAAGTCATATTGCTTTAGTATAAAGAGCATAATCTTTTCAGTTTTATCCTAAAAACTCTTTTTCATTTAGATTCATTTTTGCAACTGGCTGGCAAGCCCCACAGGCTCTGTCCTTGAGAAGCACATGGCCATCTGCTCCTTCTCTGCTCCTGGGAAGAGGGTGTGGGCTGCCACCCTCTGTGCCTGGTGCAGTGGCCGAGAAAAAGCCACCTGGTCTGTGCAGTAAAAGCCAGGTCTCCATGGGAACAGACCCAAGCACTGACTATCTGATCTCCCTTAGCTTCAGGCACCTTGCTGAGCCCACCCCAGGGCTACAGTGGTGCAGAGAGGAGGCAGAGCGAAGGAGGAGACAACCACTCCTCTCCACTGCTACTTTCAAACAAATGTATATGAGTCCAGAGAGGGTGCCCCATGTTGGAACCCAGCTCATTATTATTACTGCAAGTGTAGCTAAAAGCAGAAGCCACGTCCTCCAGCCAGCAGCTCAGGGCCATAAGTACCAAACTAACTAGTAACTGTTGAGCTATTCTTTAAAAAAAAAAAAGATTCCTTTTCTAAATCTCCTCCATACCTGTTCCTGTACCTCCAGAGTTTAAAATCTTTATGAAACCAGGAAACTTCAACACAGAGTTCACAGAAGAAACCTGGTAACTGCCTAGTTGGGAGTCCTCCTTAGAAGAAAGGTCTTCTGAATTCTTGCACTTGCATGTGAACCCCATTATTTTATTCTCTCTGCAATGGCACCCTCTATTCTCAGATGAGACCACAAGTTTTTGCATTCCTCTGATATCTGAAATGCAATCAGCATTGATTTGTAAGAGATGCTTTTGTAACCTTGAAATAAAGTAAAGAAATATACAAAAAAAATGCTTTTTTTATTTCATATGTTCTTCTCACCCTAAATATTGAAAGTATGTGTATTGAATACCTAGCATAGACTAGTTTCCGGCTAAATAGTTGTTTTGAATAATACTTTGTAATCACCCAATGGGTTCTTCTTGCCTGCTGCACAGGCAAAATCAATCCACTGAGACTGCAGCATGGCAGTTGAGAAAGAGGTTAACTGACAGAAGACCAGCCCACACAGAACTGGAGTTACCACTCAAATCAGTCGCCCTAAAGACTTAGAGACTACGGTCTTTATGGAAAATTTGGTGGGCAGGGGGCTAAGGAATGAGTGTTGCTAATTGGTTGGAGATAAAATCATAGAGGTGTGGAAAACGATACTTCTGTGCTGAGTCCCCTTCAGAGTGGAGGTCACAGGTGCAGTGGAGTCATGAGTCATGAGTCTGGGTGGGGTCAGTCTGAAAGATATCTCAAAAAAACAATCTTAGGTTCTAAAATAGTGATGTTATCTATAGGAGCAATTGAGGAAGTCACAAATCTTGTGACCTCTGGCCACACGATTCCTGAGCAGTAAAGGATTATAGAAACTATACCTACATCTTAGCAGAGTTCAGGCTTATCCCATGATCCTATTCTTGTGGCTTTTCATTAGTCTTACAAAGGTAGTTTCAGTCCCTGAGCAAGGAAGGAGTTCATTTTAGGGAGAGACTATTATCATCTTTGCTTTCAAATTAAACTATAAACTAAATTCCTCCCAAATTTGGTAGCTGGCCTACACCCGGGAGTAACCAAGGACAGCTTGGAGGTCAGAAGCAAGATGGAGTCAACAATGTCATATTTCTCTTGCTGTCATAATTTTGCAAATGTGTTTTCAAATCCCAGCTTGTGCTTCAGCACACCTCAATCCAGAGCTGTGAGCTACGGAGATAAGAAAAGGTCAAAAATTTCTCTAACTTCTTCCTGTTGACAGGAGGCATAGTTGGGGTATGGATCACCCCCAGGGTAAGAGGAGTGAAACCATCTTGTAGTTGTCTGTATGTATTCATGGGTGGCTGGTTGGAGTCCCAAGTTCTGCATGACAAAAAGCTCTTATCCGGAGCTTTAGGACAGCACTCAAGTAAGCAGTGGGCTATAAGACAAATAATGAGTCCTAACATAAAGAATGAAAACTCTAGCTTCAGGAATTCCTGCAGAACTGATATGAAGTCTTAAGGGATCCAGGTGAATGACCCCCAAGAACCAATCAGATATGAGGTAATCAGCAGAGACTCAACAACAATGGACAAAGCTGGAATTTAATAACAGGTATACTATGGTTTTTCTCCTACAGAATTTTTCTCTCCCCAGTCACCCATTTGTATCAAGGACAAATCATAGTAGGACAAATTTATTTGCAAAATAAGTTCCAACCCCATTATATGTGGCCTGATTATTTGCATAAAGTACAACAAAAATAATTATTTGCTGTATAGGATCTTTTTTTTAAAAAGTGGCTTTTTTTGGAATTGTTTTAATAAAGAATCTCAAATTAGGCCTTTTAAAAGCCTCTTGATACCAGACAAGGATTTATTTGTGCCTCCAAATACCTGTATGAATTGGGTGAGTTCCTCTCTTCTTGAGGTCTCAAAATAGCTTAGGGTTTCGGGGTCTGTCAAAAAGTGACATGCTACAGTTGCCACAGGTCAGGAACTCTGTACAGGATAAGGTATGAGGCCAGTTTTTTCAAAGGGCTTTTGCTGGCTTTATAGGTCAACCTCAATTCCTCAAAGCAATCTGAAGACATGTCATTCCAGTCAGAGCCTTGATAAAATAAGCAGTCTCTCCAAATGCGTCCTGCTACAAAAGAAAACTGATTCTTACTGAACTTCTGCAAGTAACTATATTGCCATAAGTTAAGATTATTCACATATCGTTTCCAAATTCTGGAGAAATTTTTAATGGCGGATGTGATACCTCAGTTCTTGTCTTCTGGTTTAAAAGAATTTAAGCAAGAGACACACAGCAAAAGAAATGCAGCATAGAGTAATTTATTGCCAAAGAAAAGGAATATTCTGAAAGTTAGGTGCAGAATAGACAGTACACCCTGAAAGAGAGAATTCAGGGCAGGATGCTCGTAAGGATGAGACAACAAAGACCAGCTCTAAGGAGACTCCATTTATGAGGGTCTTACATGATTATTCATAAGGAGGTGGAAACAGGTGTAACTAGTAAGCATGTTCTGGGTGGTCCTCTGGGTGCACATGTGCAATAGCTGTACCTGCTTGTTCATATGTTGCATGTCTCATTGGTATCTTAAATCTCCACCTAGGGTGTGATTTTTACTATTATAATGAGGAAAGGGTCAGTTTGAGGACAGGTAAAATCAAAATGTTCATGCTCTCTAGAAGGGAAAGTCCCTTCTGAAGATAGCTTTGCTTGAGTGAGCTCTATTACAACATGAATGATCAGGCTTGTTGTGTTAACTGTACAGTCACCATGGTTGCTGTGTCCCAAGGACATGATCACTTCTTTGACTACCTATCCTGCCTCAAAATCAGGTAGAGAGAAAAAAATGTGCTTCAAATTTTGCTCACAGGAGTATTTACTCAATTGTCAAAAACTGTAAATTACTCAAAAGAAGCTTGCTTGACTCTGAAAACAAAACAAAACAAAACAAAAAGAATCAGCAACATTTGTTTTTTGTTTTGTTTTGTTTTTTAAGACAGGGTCTCACTCTGTCACCCAGGCTGGAGTGCAGTGGTGTAATCTTGGCTGGCTCACTGCAACCTCTGCCTCCTGAGTTCAAGTGATTCTTATGCCTCAACCTCCCAAGTTGCTGGGACTACAGGCGCATGCCACAATGCCCGGCTAATTTTTTGTATTTTTAGTAGAGACGGGGTTTCATGATGTTGGCCAGGTTGGTCTCGAATTCCTGAGCTCAGGCAATCCACCTGCCTCTCCCTCCCAAAGTGCTAAGATTACAGACGTGAGCCAAGAATCAGCAACGTTTTAAGCAAAAAGTTATAAAAAGATTATTTCAGTCTTCTATTAGTTCAGGTCATGCAATTAATTCCTGTTCTACTAGATATTGGGACAGTAGTCCTTATGGATGCATTATCTCTCCGTGAGCATCCTGGAAGTTTTCCCTCTATTCTAATGACACAATTTCCAAAGATATCAGGAACCTGCATTCAAGTGCATCCCTCCTCCTCCCATAATCTTGTGACCTCTCATTAGTTTTACAAAGGTGTTTTCAGTCCCTGAACAAGCTGAACAAGGAGGATATCAGTTTTAGGGAGGACCTATTATCATCCTTGCTTTTAAGTTAAACTATAAACTAAATTCCCCCGAAAGTTAGGTTGGACCAAGGACAGCTTGAAAATCAGAAGGAAGATGGAATCAACTATGTCATCTTTCCCTTACTGCCATGATTTTGCAAAAGCAGTTTCAACTTCATCCCCACAACTGTCACAATATATCATGAAAGGCCAACATGAGATAGTTTGAGCAACTTTTTTCATTTTCCTCTTTGGAATATCAGAGTTACTGCTGTGAGAAGCAAGAGAAAAAAGCTCAGCAATTTGGAGAACAAAAATGCCTCCTAGGGATGTCATCATTTACATTTTTTTCTAATGAGGTCCCTTTTGATTGCTGGTAATGTTTTAATATACCACTGTTAAAAGAATCAATGAAGTTTCCTTATCCTTCTGGGCCTAAAGGATGTTGAGATTTTTCAAAAGTCAGAGCACACCATGGGATCTTAAAAGTAAGTCATTAGACTTGCAACAGCTCACTTAATCAGGCCACCTACTCCTAAATTATAGTCGTCAATTGAGTAGAAAATGAAACTTGGCACCTTCAACAAAAAGGATAGGATCGATATACTCATTTGTGGATTAGGCACTGAAATCAATATTTGCTTGCTAGAGTTTTCAGTGCACTGAAAATCATACCTATTTGCCCTCTGGTTTCTTATTTCTCTTTCAAATTGATCCAAGGTTTCATAAGAATTAGAATTACCTAGTTTTCTTATAGGCCCTACTGTGTCATCACTAAAGAGAAACTGGACCATGTGCCCACAGCTCAATCATGACATTGTAGGACAAACCAAAGGCATGCCAATCTCTAATCTCAGCAAACGGAATGCACATTTGCTTTAGTTATGTATCATCTTCTTTACCCTTGCAGGAAAATTTTAATTAAATAATAAAAGGGTTATCTAGAAAATGTACTATACTATTCAACACTCTAAAGAGACTGCTGAAAACTATGAACCAAAGAAAGTCTTTATCTCTTTAACCACCAGCCCCAAGCATAGGAGAATTTGGAAAGAAACACCCATGTATGTGCACACAAATACACACACACACATACACACATATGCTTCCAAGCAATATGGAGGGTTGATGGGAGGCTCAGCTTCTCCTACTTTAAATAACCACCCCTCTAATTGGTGGTTTCTGTGGTGGCATCCACTCATATGCAATGGGATTTGTTTAAAACTGGGGAAGTGAAAGAGTTTAGTAATGGGTAAATCTCAGAAGGAGAAGAGGAAAGAAGACAGCAGAGGATACAAGAACCATGGCATCTGCTCTCTCCCTTTGGACTGAATTTCAGCAACTGTAATTAAGAAGATGAGCCACAGAGGTAAGCAACCTGTTTTCATAAGAGATTTTTGGAAACTCTAGGTAAGGGCTGAGACAGATGGAACTGTTCTCATATACATGATTTAAGACTCCAGGCATAAGCAGTAATGACTTGAAGTCTATATAAAATAAAATAGGGGCTGGGCATGGTGGCTCACACCTGCAATCCAAGCGCTTTGGGAGGCCGAGGCGGGTGGATCATGAATTCAAGAGTTTGAGACCAGCCTGACCAGCATGGTGAAACCCTGTCTCTACTAAAAATACAAAAACTAGCTGGGCATGGTGGCATGCACCTGTAATCCCAGCTACTCAGAAGGCTGAGACAAGAGAATCGCTTGAACCTGGGAGACAGAGGTTGCAGTGAGCTGAGATTGCGCCACTGCACTCCAGCCTGGGAGACAGAGGAGACTCCATCTCAAAAAACAAACAAACAAAACAATAACAAGAACAACAAAAACATAAAATAGGGCAGGGGGATGGAAAGAGGGCATTTCTGTACATGCCCGCATAGAACCCAGAAGTGGTCCAGCACACCAGTGGCTGACCATTTGGCAAGCATCATGAGATCATTTTCTTGGCTTCTCTTAATTGGAACACAGTGGCCATGGTGAACAGCAGACAGGGCGGTGGAACTCTGCATGTCTCATAGTGGTTATAGAAAAGAGTCTTGTTTCCAGGCACATATCACACTTAACTAAAATGCTAGAAACAAATAACTAGGAGTCACTTTGAAAATGGTCTTGAGTTACTGAATATATGGAAGTTTGCAGTTATTGCAATTTTTCCATAAATGTATATGGCCTGATGAGCCTAGGCACTACTTAGAGGAGATATACTTCCACACATACATGCATACACACAGCCACACAAACCTATAGGGCTATATTCATGTTTTCATACCTATGTTTGTTGACAAGTTTATTCTGAGTGGTTATTTTATATACATTATTGTACTAGAAATTTCAGAGAATATGTGAAAAGTTGAAAATTGACTTCCGCTTCAATATGGCAAATGGACCATGGATGTTTAGGTCCTTTCTTTGCCAAAGCCCTGCTAGAAGGAAATGAAAGAGAATGTTCAAAATTATTATCCCAAAAGAGCAAAAATAATAAAAGAGGTGACAGAAGCATATGAAAGAGTCAAACTTACTTTTGGAATTTCCAAGAAGTTTGGAAAATTGGAGATGGAGTGAGCTACATGTCAGTCCTTTCAGCAAGGAGGTCCCATGGGAGTGAGGCTGTGGGTTCCCCAGAAGGCCCTACAGGCTTATTAGCTAGAGGTGCCATGTGGGGCAAAAAAGGCTGGAAACGGGGACCTTGGGTTGTACCCAGGGCTGTTGGCCCTCCCCAAACCTCTACTGTCAGAAACTTTCCTTCTTCTTCCCTGCAAGGGAACAGAGGTTCATTTTCTAGAAAAACTTAACTGGAGAAATCTAGAACTCTGTGACACTGGGTGGAGAGGGATGTGGGTTGAGACTGTGAGACTGCAGGTGGAGCAGTGAGTATCTCTATATTGAACCCAGAGCACATCAACTTGCTTCCTCTAACCCTGCTCCATGATGACACACAGGCCAGAACATACTCTCCCAGGCAAGATGTTGAAAACTCCTCTCTGGAGAAACTGAAAGGTCTCCTGTGGAGAAAAACTCTCCACCTACTGTCATTTAATGGTCCCCCAGCGAAAAGTTCAGTTCACTGACCCATTATCCCAGGTGATCCCCGGGAAGAAAGCCCACTAGTCAGTCAGTCCCATCAAACACATAGAGCTTCCAATCAGCCTTTTAGTGCCTCACTCTTATACAGGAGTGGACAGTTAAGGACCACAGCATTTGAAGAAAGCCTCAAACAAAAAGGAGAAAAACCAACACAGCAGCCTCAGAAAAGTAACTCGGAGAAAGCAGAGACAGCACAGACAAAAGAAGAAAACTAAAACGACAAAACAAATGATAATGAATACCCAGAGAAACAAGAAAAATATTGCACCCATAAAATAAAAACAGTTGGCTTAGGAAAAGGAAAAATGAGAGAAAAAAGAAAAAAGCCTGTAGAAATCAAAACTATGATTAACAAAAAGTCCTACCAGCACAGCTGCAATTGGGGCTTCTCAACCATGCCTTCAAAGAGGTAACCAGTCACCAAAGCTGGTGGAACCTACAACTTAGTGTTAAGTGCTTAACACTTTTTGTCTTTTGTTAATATCTGGGTTGCCACTTCCATTGTCTGCACCAAATACCATCTGGCTGCATGTGCTGGGAGAGAAACCTCACGGAGGAAAAGAACATGCAAAGGTCATCTTAATTTTCCTCAGGTTGGGATAATTTGTGTTCATGTTTCTGACTTGAAACCGACTTTAGTGATACAGCTGCATGTCTTCTTTTGATAGTAATTCCCAAACAGAGAAATTCCAGATACTTATGAAAGCTTCTAGACCAAGCTTGTTCAACCCATGGCTCACAGGCCACATGTGGCCCAACACAAATTCATAAACGTTCTTAAAACATTATGAGATTGTTTTGCCATTTTTTGGGTGTGTGTGCATCAGCTATCATTAGTGTAAGTGTATTTTTTGTGTGGCCCAAGACAATTCTTCTCTTTCCATGTGAATCAGGGAAGCCAAAAGATTGGGCACTCTGGTGACCATAGTTTGGAAGTGTGATGCTTCTGTACTAATGCTACTCACACTGAAATTAAAGCCATTAGTCTAAAAAACAGCTTTGATATAGTACTCTAATGTTACTTGTATTATCAAGCTATTATTGCAGCAATGTTGGATAACAAAACACCCAAAACTCAGTGGCTTAAAAAACTCTCATTTCTTCACATAATCAAAGGTCAGCAGGTTGGGATAGGCTGGACTCCTGCCTTGGAGCTCTCAGTTCTGAGCACCAAGCTTCTAGTGCACTCAGGTTTTCTCCATCCCGAGCTCAGGCATGGAGTGTCTCATACGTCTAAACCCAGCAGATCCCGGTGCATATAATCTGCTCCATGGGTTTCAGTCCTGGGCCCAGTCTAAGGGAGCAGCTAAAGTGTTCACTTTGGGAATGTTTTTCTCTGGAGCACACGAGTAAAAGTCTAACCATAGGAGCAAATGCCTGCTCACATTTTTTCAACGATCATCTCACTGGCCAAGGCAAGCCACATGCCAAAGACTAAAGTCAAGATGCAGGGAAGTGTATCCACCCTCTTAGAGGCCATGGTGATGGCAAGTGTGTAGATATAAGATATTGCCACCAAGGAGTGAAGAATTGGGACCAGCAATTTAATTTACCATGGTCTGCCCTATAGGTCCCAATTATTAACATATACCCCCACCTTCAAAATGCACTCACTTTCCATCATTAGACCCACAAAATCTCATCCAATCGCAGCACTTGACAACAAATCTGATCCTCATGAGGTCAAGATTTTATGTACAAATATATATGTGTAATATATATTTAATATGTACTATATATAATATATAAGTACATAGTTTATATGTTTATATAACATATAAAACACATTTAAACATATGTATTATATATAAATATATAAATAAGTATATATTATAGATATGTTTTATATATAAAAACATTTATATTTATAAACACATATTTTTATACAAAAAAAATATATATATATACATATATATATATATATGCCCTTCTTGGCAATAAGCAGATTTCTGTATAGGCTTTCTGACTATGGAAAGTTGGAGGGTATTTTGTAAAAATAAACAAATAACTTTAACAAAATTTTCACTAATCTGATGCTTTTGTAAAATAAATAAATTTTAAAAAGAAAGAAAATTGGAGGGCAAAGTTCTTTATTTTTTAGACGTGGTCTTGCCCTGTTGCCCAAACTATAGTGCAGTGACACAGTCATAGTTCACTTTTACCTGGAACTCCTGGGCTCAAATGATACTCCCATCTCAGCCTCCCAAGTATCTGGGACTACAGGTGTGTGCCACCATGCTTCGCTAATTAAAAAAAAAAATTTTTTGTAGAGATAGGGTCTCACTATGTTGCTCAAGGCTGGTCTCCAACTCCTGGCCTCAAGCAATTCTCCTGCCTCAGCCTCCCAAAGCACTAGGATTAGAGGTGTGAGCACCTGCCCAAGAGGTGTTTTTACATCTCTAACAGTCTTCGTCTCTTTTCATCAGGCTGGCAGGGTTTTTGCCAATAGAGCTCTCTCACAAATGTGGATTTTCTATGAAAGTGATTTTAGTCAACTCCATTTTGGAGTTGACTTAATTATGGGTACTTCTGAGACATCAGACTTCTGTAGGAACAAGTCTTATAACCTTTTCTAAGAGCCTCTTTGCCCACCTGAAGAGACCTACTAGCTTCCATCTTAAGCCTTTTCAGATGTCTTAACAAAAGATGTTACCCTTGACACACTTTTCACTCCAAGACTGTGTCATATTAGCAGCACCTTGGGTTTGGTCTGCGCCCTGAGGCTCTGTTATAATGGCCACATCTTTTATTTTGTAAGAAACAATTTCATTGTATAACTCTGCCCTGCAATTTCTGAACTCCCTAATATCCTTCTCAGTTCTGTTTGCAAACTGGCTGGTTCTTTGCTGAGTTTCTCTCTTCTTACCTGCAGTACCTCACAAAGCTCATCTAGTAGCAACCAGTTTCTGCTTTCAACATTCTTCCTTCATACTTCCTCACCCAAAACTAAAAGTTTTTTAGGTATGTTTTCTTTTTCCAGAGTCCCAAAGGCAAGCAGTTTTACCAAATGCTTTTCCACTACATGGTGTGTGGGTTACCATTGTTTAGCCTTCCATGGCAGTTGGCTTGATTTCTGCCTCTTATTATCAAAACTAATTCCAGAAATTTTGGTTCTTGTTATGGCAGTACCCCATTTTCAGTGTTAGTCAGCAAGTTCCACAATAATGATGCATAAAAATACTCAACGCTCATTGGCTGAAAAAGCCAAAATGTGTAGTTTCAGGTCTGTGGGTTGAGTGCAATATAGTTGAGCTTGGCTCGACTCCAGGCTCGTAAGGGTTTAGTGTGGCTCCACATGCCTCTCATGCCTCTTAATTTAGGAACCGGCCAGGACATGTGGTTGGCTCCATGTGCCTCCCTCTCAGACACGAGCTGAGGGCAAGGAAGAACTTGGAGCATGTTCTGCTCGTGGCAGGCTACCACGCTGTGTGGATATAAGCCCAAAGGCACAAACATATCTGAATGTCTCTGTCTGAACCATGTTCACCAACATCTTACTGGCCAAAGGAAGTCAAATGGCAAGATTCAAAGTTAAGGGGTACGGAAGTACACTCTCCCTACCTTGAAACCACAGTGAGGTTGTAAACCTACAATACAACTATAGGTGTGGGAAGTTGGGGCTCAAATTCCATATACCTCAGTGCTCTGTTTTGGTAAGATTACAAACTTAAATGTCCAAATTATTAAATCAAAATTCAGTTGCCAGTGTTCCTGAGAAATCCTTCTTGTTTTGTTGAAAGTGTGATCATACTAGACCAACTTAACTATTTCCTGCCTCCTCCTCTCATCAGAGACTAGATCATGTCTGTCTGTCCCTTCCCAGCTGCCTGGAATTTTTGCCACAGGCAGACAGATTTAAAGAATCAAGACTGATATCGACCTGTATGTCTAATATTTGATCCAACAGATTTCTGAGCTCTTTTTGAAATTCACCAGACCCACCCTACCCTCTGCCTTCTGGGTGGCCAGACTTCCGTTTCTGCCCATTTCTCTTTGACAGCCCTACCTAGATCTCATTTGTCATATTCAGTAGGTCCAAAGTTGTGTTGACTCACTGCTTAGTGAGGCTGGTTATTTACCTAGTGAAGGTCTTGTTTCTGTTTTCAATACTTGATGCCAATGTTCAGAAACTACTAAATTTCCTAGGTTTTTCTAGCTAAATAGATTTTGCATTTCCTAAAGATAATGAGTTTGAAGTCTTTTCCCCTGGAAAAATAGCTAATTTTGGCCCTATGGCACTCAGGAACAATCTTGTAAACATAGTGTGTGTCACTGAGGTAAACAGTGGTACTATCATTACAGGAATGGCGACAGGCTTCAGTGGCAAATGTGGACCCCTGGTGGATATGAAATGGTGGCATGAGGGAGGAGAGGAGCAGGGTATTCCTTGAATGGGAATAAAATATTGTTTTGTGTCTAGAGGGCAAGTGCAGCAGGTGTAAAGTTAATGAAACACAGGGCTCCTGCAGTTTGGATATTTGATTAGTAGGAAGAGAATAAACAAATTAGTCAAATATGTTTTCACTACCGAGCTAAGCACAGCAATGGATCTAGGTATTGTGAGGCCTGAAGCTAATATCATTTAAGACATCTCTTTAAGAAAAAAATACAAAATTGAGTTCAAAAGTGACTTTTTTAAGAATGTATAAAGAATTCATAACAAATTACAGGAATTTAGAAATTCCAGGCCTTTTTCTCCTCAGATCCCTTTAGATTTGCCAGAAATCTACAGAGAAATGCCTCCTCATTTCACCCTGGCTTTTCCTTTCCACCCAGAACATTCTATGGCTCCCATCGGCTCCCTGCTGGTGAGCTCTTGGGCAAATGAGAGTCTCTGAAGCTTAAGGTTTGCTAGCTTCACAGTAAACCTGCTTTTAGTCTGAGCAAACACATCATCAAGACAGGCCTGGCCAGCATCCATGCCTTAACATCAGGGCTGGCTTCATCAGCATGTGGCCTGTACAGTTGTCCAGTGCTTATGTTCAGAGGAGCCCCTGATATGGTTTGGCTCTGTCCCCACACAAATATCATCTTTAATTGTAATTCCCATAATCCCCATGTGTCATGGGAGGGACCAGGTGGAGATAATTGTATCGTGGGGGTAGTTTCCTCCAACCGTTGTCATGATAGTAAGTTATCACAAGAACTGATGGTTTTCTAAGAGGCTTCCCCCTTCACTCGGCTCTCATTCCTCTCTTTCCTGCCATCTTGAAGAAAGACATGATTGCTTCCCCTTCTGCCATGATTGTAAATTTCCTGAGGTCTCCCCAGCCATGCTGAACTGTGAGCCAATTAAACCTCTATCCTTTATAAATTACCTAGTCTTGGGTGTGTCTTTATTAGCAGCATAAGGATGGACTAATACAAGCCTGCGTCTTGGCTTACTGCTCTACTGTTAGCCATCATCTAGAAACTCCTAATAATTTTGTCTTTCAGCTGGTGTCTGGAAGTAAAGTGGATGGGTTAATGGAGCATGCATATGGGCAGGAGATATTCATGTCCACCCCTATTCCTTGCCACCCCATTCACATATAGCATTCCCAAGGTTCCATGAGTACAGAATGCTAGTGGACCCAGAATTCGTGGGAATCAGGGAGACTCAAAGAAGTGCATATGTTATGTCTATGCCTGAGTAAGTAAAGACTATGACAGCCATGAGAAGCTATGCTTTCTGTTCAAATCAGAGCTTGCTTTGAACATAGAAAGAAGACAATGGAGTTCTAAGAAACCCAAATGACCAAGAAATCCTCTTATAATCTTTCTTACTTGCATAATAACTTCCCTATATTAGCCAACCACTTATGCTGAAAATGACGTAGAAGGAAAAAGAAAGATAGGGCAACTACAGTCTTTTTTTCTTTCTGTCCTTCCTTGCTCATCAGTAAGCCAAAAGTGAAGAGTGCTGATGGCAATTGTACTTATTCAGAAGTGACATAGAAACAGTTGAGTAAGTTTTGTGCAGTTTTCACTGTTCTGCTAAGAACAAAATACTATTTGTGAAGGGCAAACACCCTCTGAAGATTGGCTGAAAATTGAACAGAAAAAAAAAACAGATTAATAGGAGGAAAGGTAATTAACATGCAGAAGAGTCCTACAAAATGAAAGAACTCAAGGAAATGGGCAGATAGCTGATGCTTTTATGCCATCTTGAGGTTACAGGAAAAAATAGGGGGTTGGAGCTTAGTAAATCAGGTTATGGTGGTGAAACAGGTTATGAGAGGGAGAGAGGATGAGATGTGGCTGGCAAAGGTGCTCTTGTTATGTGGATAACAGGTAGATCTCACAGGTAGCAGCTCTCAGAGAGAAGAGATGCTAAATGTTTCTTTCAGACCTTTTAAAGTGTCAGACTCTCAGATAATCTTTCCTAGCCTGGTGCCATCAATGCAGATTCTCTAAAGAGGCTAATATCCCCCACAGAAAACAGCTTTTCAAGGCTACTTCTGTAACCACCTGAAGGGTTCATTTTGCCCACTGCCCAGATAGAACTGATTTATCAAGACAGAGGAATTGCTATACAGAAAGAGTTTAGTTCATGCAGAGCTGGCTGAATTGGGAGACTGGAGTTTTATTACTTGAATCAGTCTCTGAAAATTTGAAGGCTAGAGTTTTTCAAGCATAGTTTGGGGGGAGGTGGTGCCTGGGGAATGGGTGCTGCTGATTGGATGGGGCGTAATCACAGGGGTGTGGAAAATGGTCCTTGTGTGCACCGAGTCCACTTCTGGGTGGGGCCACAGGACAGGTTAATGGGTCTGGGTGGACCCATCAGTAGTCAGAAATGCTAAAACCTGAAAAGACATCTCAAAAGGCCAATCTTAGATTCTACACTAGTGACTTATCTGCAGAAGTAATTGGGGAAGTTGCAAATCTTGTGGCTAATTTGTTAGTCCTACAAAGGCAGTCTAGTCCCCAGGAAAGAAGGAGATTTGTTTCAGGCAATGGCTGTCCTCTTTGTTTCAAAGTTAAACTATAAACTAAGTTCCTCCCAAAGGTAGTTCTGCCTATGCCTGGGATTGAACAAGGGCAACTTGGAGGTTGGAACAAGATGGAGTTGGTTAGGTCAGATCTCTTTCACTGTCCTAATTTTTTCACTATCACAATTTTTGCAAGGGTGATTTTATTTCTTTTTGCAGTCTCTCTGAATAGTCATCTCAAAATGTGTCAAAAAAGTATTTTTGCGGATGTAGTATTTTTATTTCCCTCAATACATATGCATATATGAGCTAAGAAATACGAATCATGTAATCTTGGTGATTTTGCATATCCGTTAAATGCTGTTACGTTTGCATTTAAAACTAGCATTCAACAACATAAATATGAATGGTAAAATTAACGCTAATAACATAATTTTTATTACTTAGAACATCATTAAATGACAAATTTTAAAATACCAGAACAACTCGAGAGACAGCAACCGTGGAAGAAAGAAAAGAAATGTGTATTTTAGTACCTTTACTTGTACGTTCTTTCTTTTGTTTTTTTCCTTTGCCCTGGACCCTACAAATTCCATACCCAGCCCTGCTTAATATGGATGGGTACTGTGCAGACAAGTACTTGTTGAGGTATACACTTTGCATTTTTACTTCTCTAATTCTTTGTCTACATCAGTCAATAGGAAAACAGAAAGATTATGACCAGACCAATAGATTTAAAGAATTTATCTTTTACTTTAGAGAAAAGATATGTAAACCAAAAATAAAATTCTAAGCCCTCCAACCAAATGCATGGATCCCCTCTTGGCTAAAGGGATCCCAGAGAAAGGTGGAAAGCTGAATTTCTGGTCATGATGGGAAGGGGAGGTTAGACATGCCTTGTTATATTCTCTCATTCTTGGAGTTTAGGCACATCTGACCAGCATTAACATTAAAATTGAGATCATACAACTGGCAAAACAGACTCTTTGTGGCAATAAGATATAGCATATCCAACCTGACTCTGCTATAGCATCACATGACAGACAGCAGACCCTGAAAAAAAATCAAAGTAGTTTATCCCAACAGATATTTCTTTGACATATTTTTAAATGGCCCTGCAAAGTTGTCTTCTGTGGGGAACATTTTGCATCTGTAGGGAATCTCCATTAATGCAGTCAGGCCTTTCCCTGATCTAGGAGAGATTAACTGAAAGTCTGATAACTTCAGAGAATAGTTACCATCTATTCTCTCTGAAGCCTTCTACCTATGAGCCCTCCTCTGCATAACAAGAACCTTGGCCTCCACAGCCTCCCTTATCTTAATTCAAGCATTTCTTTTCACTGACTTCAGGTCTTTAGATGAAGCCTAACTCTTTCAATGAATTGCTAATCAGAACATCTTTGAATTCACCTATGACCTGGAAGTATCCCTCCACTTCAAGATGTCCTTCCTTTTCAGGCCAAACCAATGTATACCTTCCATGTGTTGATTTATTATTTTTGCCTACAATTCCTGTCTCCCTAAAATGTACAAAACCAAACAGTAATCCAGCTGCCTTGGGCACACTTTCTCAAGACCTCTTGGGGCTGTTCCCCAGACCATGGTCATTCATATTGGCTCAGAATAAACCCCCTTTAAATATTTTACAGAATTTGGGTATTGTTTTGGTCAAAAAATAATAGGAAAAATGTGAAGAAATATTAGCATAAAGTATAGGGCCAATATTTACTGGCTGACCAGCTGATTCTCTACTTCCATTTTCTAATTCTTACTTTCTATGGAGTATTACAGCATAAGATCCTCACGTTGAATTTAAGTAGATATTGTGTATTTCCTTAAGATCATGCTTACTCAATAAATTATGATGCATCTGTGTGATGCATAATTATCCAGAAATTAAAATGGCATTTCCAAAAATAGTTAATAACATGGAGGGGAAAATAGGATGGAAATCTCTAAGTATAATGTCATCTTATCTTATTAGAAAAAATGTATGTGCATAAAAAACACAGAAAGAAAAATATCAAGTTTTCTTTTTTGAGAATTGAGATTTTGGATGATTTCTGTTTTTTACATTGTAACTTTCCATATTTTAAATGCTCTTCAATGATTGTGAATTGCTTTTGTAACAAGAAAACATTTCAGCAACATCTTATGCATCTTCCCCTTTTTAGTGTTTAGCATTCTGCTTAAAAGATAGAGGGGAGTCAGTCATTACTTCATGAATTTGAATCATCTCTAATTTGCAAGTGAAGCAGTTGAAGCTCCTCACATGTATGTGTAATCCTAAGTAGGGGAAAAGAGTTGTCTGGTATGACTAAGGGAAAGCAGAAAGAAAAGGCAGATAAGCTGCAAGCCTCTTTTCTTCATGGTTCAGGACACATAGCCCACCTGCACAAATAACTCACAATCTTCCTGCACCCAGATATCACCATTGCAAGTTAGCTCACTGCAACCTTGGTGTTTGTTGGGGTTCAATCAGGCTGGTGGGAAAAATATTAGAGATAGCTATAGAAATAGACACAAAACTCTCTTTGAAGGCCTGAGTTTGTGTAGCTTCAGATTGCTTGGCCGAAGGCAGCCAGGGTCTCTTTATAGGAGCCAGAAAGATTAGGGTGCAAGTACAAAGGCATGTGGGAAGTTTATCTTACTAACCTGTTTACGTATATGGGCTTAAGACCGACCTCTGTCCTACTGCGGGTACTTTCCTGCCTCCTACTCAGGGGTGGGCAGAAGTTTATTTATTATGGTGTTTGCTTTAGGCCCGGGAACCTGGCCTTTAATCTTTACCCTCTACTGGTGTTTACTCACAACTTTGGTTAATTAGTCTTAGTGAATAAATGGGAGCCTCACTATCTGATGGGGCAAGTTGCAACTGTTTACAGAACTCAGCTTGGAGCTTGTAAGTGGCTGGCACCCTCAGCTGGACTGGCAAAGCAGAATACCTGTGTGTCAGTGTACTTTATTCATCCGTCGCCAACAGGGGTCTGCAGGAACAGACACCCAGCAGCTAGTGCCCCCGCAAAAGGAGCACTGCCTCAGATGTTACCAGTGCTGCACGTAGCACTCTGCACCCTAAGAGCCACCCTATAACATTCCCTGCAAGTCTTTGTTTCCTTGCAGTCAGCTCCTCTTCTGCTGGTCTGCCCGTTGCCTCCTCGCAATATGTTTTCATTCTTTCTCCAATAAATCTGCCTTTCTTTACTTACAACCGTCTTGGTAAATTCTTTTACCCCTACACCAGCAGCCCAATAGTCATCACTCACTCATGATAATATACTTTTATATACCTGTAAAGTAATGTCTTAATAGTGAATCTTCATGTAAATATTGAAATTCTATCTCCTCCATTGTACAGTTTTTTTGGTGGAAAATCTTGCCTGGATTTACTTCACAAACTTTCAACTCCATACCCTTACAAACCTAATGTCACTGACCCTGTCCTTCCTTTCTTTGCTGTCTTGTCAGAGAAGGCTGCCTCTTCTTGTCAATCTCCCCAGGCCCACAGGGTTCACGCATGACCCTATTTTGCCAGTTAACCCCCTCTTTCCCATGCCCACTTTGTCAGGCCTCTGAGCCCAGGCTAAGCCATCATATCGCCTGTGACCTGCACGTATACATCCAGACAGCCTGAAGCAAGTGAAGAATCACAAAAGAAGTGAAAATGGCCGGTTCCTGGCTTAACTGATGACATTCCACCACTGTGATTTGTTCCTGCCCCACCTTAACTGAGCAATTAACCTTGTGAAATTCCTTCTCCTGGCTCAGAACCTCCCCCACTGAGCACCTTGTGACCGCTGTCCCTGCCTGTAAGAGAAAAACCCCCTTTGACTGTGATTTTCCACTACCTACACAAATCCTATAAAACGTCCCCACCCCTGTCTCCCTTCACTGACTCTCTTTTTGGACTCAGCCCGCCTGCACCCAGTTGACTAAAAAGCCTTATTGCTCACACAAAGCCTGTTTGGTGGTCTCTTCACACAGACGCACGTGACACACTTTTCCACTGGCTCCTTCTCCTCAGGGCATTCAACTTTCAGCATCTTTGCAAAACAGAGACTCTTCTCCAACCTCTACCTCCTTCCCTGCACAGTGAAAGTTTGAGAAATGTAGTCTATATTTGCTATCTCTACTTCCTTACTTCAATTTTCTCTCTTCAACTTCCTCCAATGTGACTTATGTTATATTAACAGGAAAACCAAACTCTGTAAAATATTTTAAAGAGATTTATTCTGAGCAATATGACAGACCATGGCCCAGAGAACAATCTCAACAGGTTCTGAGGAAGTGTGTTTGAGGTGGTGAGTTTACAGGAAAGCAATCTGGATCCAGACCCCAAGAGAGGGTTCTTGGATCTCATGCAAGAAGGAATTCAGGGCGAGTCTCATAAACAGAAAGCAAGTTTATTAGAAAAGTAAAGGAATAAAAGAATGGCTACTGTCACACACGTCCATGTGAAGAGACCACCAAACAGGCTTTGTGTGAGCAATAAAGCTTTTTAATCACCTGGGTGCAGGCGGGCTGAGTCCAAAAAGGGAGTCAGCAAAGGGATATGGGGTGGGGCAGTTTTATAGAATTTGGGTAGGTAGTGGAAAATTACAGTCAAAGGGGATTGTTCTCTGGCGTGCAGGGGCAGGGGTCACAAGGTGCTCGGTGGGGGGAGCTTCTGAGACTCATTGTCCAGGAAAAGGAATTTCACAAGGTAATGTCATCCGTTAAGGCAAGAACTGGCCATTTTCACTTCTTTTGTGGTTCTTCAGTTGCCTCAGGCTATCTGGATTTATAAGTGCAGGCTTGGGCTCAGAGCCCTGACAGCTCCTCCATAGACAGAGCAGCCCCAAGGGCTGCTGATTGCCCATTTTGATGGTTATTTCTTGATTATATACTAAACAAGGGGTGGATTATTCATGCCTCCCCTTTTCAGACCATATAGGGTAACTTCCTGACATTGTCATGGCATTTGTAAACTGTCGTGGTGCTGGTGGGAGTGTAGCAGTGAGGATAACCAGAGGTCACACTCTTCACTATCTTGGTTTTGGTGGGTTTTAGCCACTTACTTACTGCAACCTGTTTTATCAGCAAGGTCTTTATGACCTGTATCTTATGCCGACCTCCTATCTCATCCTGTGACTTAGAATGCCTTAACCGACTGGGAATGCAGCCCAGTAGGTCTCAGCCTCATTTTACCCAACTCCTATTCAAGATAGAGTTGCTCTGGTTCAAACGCCTCTCAAAGTCAGGATACAGTTTGGTTTTACACATTTTAGGGAGACACAAATTGCGGGTAAAACCACAAATCAATACATGGAAGGTGTACATTGGTTTAGCCTAAAGAGGTGGAATATCTTGAAGTGGGGGCTTATAGGTCACAGGTGGATTCAGAGATTTTTCTGATTGGCAATTGGTTGAGAGAGGCTTCATCTAAAGACTCGAAGTCAGTAGAAAGAAACGCTTGAATTAAGGGGGATTGTAGAGGCCAAGGTTTTTGTTATGTAGATGAAGCCTCATAGGTGGCAAGCTTCAGAGAGAATAGATGGTAACTGTCTCTTTTCAGACCCTGAAGGTATCAGACTTTCAGTTAATCTCTCCTAGATCAGGGGAAGGCCTGGCTGCATTAATGGAGATTCCCTACAGATGCAAAATGTTCCCCACAAAAGACGACTTTGCAAGGCCATTTAAAAATATGTCAGAGAAATATCTGTTAGGGTAAACTACTTTGATTTTTTTTCAGGGTCTGCTGTCTGTCATGTGATGCTATAGCAGAGTCGGGTTGGATATGCTATATCTTATTGCCACAAAGAGTCTGTTTTGCCTGTCCTATGATCGCTGTTTTAATGTTAATGCTGGTCCATTGTGCCTAAACTCCAAAAAGGAGGGGTATAACGAGGCATGTCTAACCTCACTTCCTGTCATGACCCATGGGAATTCAGTTTTTCTGAATTTTCCCAGGTTTCTCTGGGATACCCTTGGCCCAGAGGGAGTGTGTTTATTTGATTGGAGGGACTTAGGACTTTATTTATGGTTTACATTCTTTATATTCCATGGAAAGAATTCCTGCTAAAGTCTTCAGTGAGCACACAGCTGCCAGAACTGAGGATCACTTTGAGTCCCCTCACCTGGCCCTCCCTGCCAGCAGCACTTGCTGGTTCCCTTCTCTTTCTTGAAGCTCTACCTCAGCACTCGTCCTCCCACTTGCCCCCATCTGCTTCTGCTCTGTCTCCTTCACATGCTGACTTTTCTCTACCCACATGTTAAGTGATGAATTTTAAATTATATAATTAATACATTTCTATAGGTGTACAAGTTAAACATTGCAGATAAGGGTAAAGTTCTCCTTAAGAAGCCATTTCAATTGCCCAGGTCCATCCCCAGAGACAACCACTGGTATCGGCTGAAAAAATAATTTTCGTTTGAGGAATGTGAGTCCTTTTAAAAGACTCAGCAATGATACAGAATCAAACTGTGTCCTCGACAAATGGCTGGATAAAGAAAATGTGGTATATATACACAATGGAATACTATTCAGCAATAAAGTCATGTGACTTTTGGTTTTTTTTTGCAACAACATGGATGGAACTGGAGGCCATTTATTTATTTACTTATTATTTCATTTATTTATTTTTTTGAGACGGACTCTCGCTCTGTTGCCCAGGTTAGAGTGCAGTGGCACAATCTCTGCTCACTGCAACCTCCACCTCCCAGGTTCAAGTGATTCTCCACCTCAACCTCCCCAGTAGCTGAGATTACAGGCACCTGCCATCATGCCCGGCTAATTTTGTATTTTTGTAGAGATGGGGTTTCACCATGTTGGCCAGGCTGTTCTCAAACTCCTGACCTCAGGTGATCTGCCCACCTCGGCCTCCCAAAGTGCTGAGATTACAGGCGTGAGCCACTGGGCCCGGCCGAGGCCATTTATTTTTAAGTGAAACAACTTACAAACAGAAAGCCAAACAACACATGTTCTCACTTATAAAGGTGGGAGCTATTAATAAATAATGTGCACACATGGATGTAGAGTGTGGACTAATAGGCCCTGGTGTCTCAGAAGAGTGTGAGAGTGGGTGAGGGGTGAGAAATTACTCAGTTAGTATCATGGACATGATTCAGGTGATGGCTACACTAAAAGTCCAGACTTTACCTCTATACAATATATTCATGTAACAAAACTGCACTTGTACTCCTTAAATTTATGCAATTAAAACAAAATATCAGGCCCAGAGAGACATTAAAATGAGACAGCAACTGTGTCCTACTGTGCCCTTGGAGCTATGTATTCTTCTGTTGAAACTGCTTGCTGTTGCCACAGATTACTATAAATTAACCTAATAATGCTGCACTGGACACTATAACCCACACCGTAACTTAGCAGTGTATCACTAATCAATGTTATTTCTAGAAACCAATGAAAATTCCTAACAAACAACTTTGTATTAGCCCACTCCATGTCTCTCTTTTTTGCCTTTAAAAACCCGCTTGTAACAAAGGCAGAAGGGAGCTCATATCCAGGGTTAATTGGGCCTATGTCTTCCAGGCAGTTGTCCTCTCTTAGGCTCAAGTAAACTCTCTAAATAACATTACATGCCTCAGCCTCTTCCTTTTTAGTCAATAATGCTTTCTTTGTTTCCTTCCAGACATTTCTTCTGCCTTCACGTACATAGATGAAATGCATATTTCTATAGGAATATATAGTGCTTTGGGTCCTGTTTTTTCTAAGTGGAATTATACTGTACATTTTTTTCTAGGTAATAATTTTTTCCTTAAAGATTGTTTAATGCCAGTTAATATAAACCAAGCTCTTTTCTTTCCTGTTCTTACCTGCTACATGACATCTATGTTCCACTGTCAGTTTAAAATTTCTCATATGATGTCCATGTAAGATATTTCTAATATTTCATGATCGTAAATAAAGCTGCATTGAGCTCTCTGTGTGTGTATAGTTTTTGTGCACATTTGTGTTTCTCTAGGGTGGGTACTTACATTTTAATAGATATTCCAAAATGGTTTTCAGATAGACATACAAATTTACACTACAATTTGTGAGTATGCTCATTTATAACACCTACTTGCCAATGTGAAATAGCATAAAATTTGTTAATATTTGCCATTCTGATGGCTGTAAAATAGCATCCTTTGTTTTCATTTGCATTTCTCTGTGTGCCAATTATTAAGTTCATTTTCATTTGCTTTTAAGCCACTTGTAATCTCGCTTCTGTGAATTATCTGTTCTGTCCTTTGCTTATTTATCTTTTTTTGCTATTTGCATTTCCCTTGTTATTTTTAGGCATTTTTAAGACAGCCTTCATCTAGGCATGTGTTCTTTATTATGGATATTACAAATGTTTCTCCCTGTCCATGTGTTTTAACTATTATATATTTTGCCATTAAGATTTTTTTATTGTACTCCAAATAACATGTCTTTCCTTTCTGACTTTGCATTTGTGCCTTGTCTAATAAAGAAATAAAGGTTATCAGTATATATCTTCTGATTTTTTTCCTACAATGCTTTCATAGCCCTTATTGATTTATTTATTTATTTATTTTATGTATTGGTCTTTATACCATCTGCAATTTGGTTTTGTGTGAATGGTTCAAAGCAGTGATTGCATGTAAATTGTTTACACAAATAAAACATTTTCCCAATGCTAAATTCCCTTAGATGTATTCATGTATGTCTGGGCCCTATGTCCATTTGTCTAATCCCCCACTATGCCACCGTCCTAGTCATTCTGGCTTTGTAACACATTCACACCTAGTGGGCTATGGTCCCCCCATCCCTTCCCCACACACAATTCTCACACATACACACTCTGGATTTTTTTTGTTTTGAAAATTGTCTTGGCCTCTCTTACATACTTACTGTCTTACATGGATTTTAGAATGGCTTCGCCAAATTCCTCGAAAAAGTCATGTTATAATTTGTATTATGCTTGCATTGATTTTATACATCACTTTAGGAGAATCGATCTCTTTGCAATCTTGATATCCCAATTTACAAACATGATAAATGTCTCCATTTATTTAAGACTTGTATGTCTCAACTTTATGTGAATTTTTCTGGTCTTTTGTCACATGGGCCTTTTCAGGCTTATGTCTAGGTATTTTAAGGCTCTCCCCTCTTAGAATGTTGATTTTCCTTCATAGTCAGCCGTTGGTCTGCTTCTGGCCCACTAAGTCTCCTTGGATGCTCCAACTGTTACCATTATCATCTATATGTCGTTACCTCATCAACACCTGGGTTTCAGCTTAGACCCCATTGGCCTGACCTCCACATATAAACGTTCACCTGCAAACCAGAGTTTTCCATATAGATTTTCTACTGACACCTCAACCTCAACCACATCATGACTGCCCTTTTCCCACTCCCTGACACCTTCTGTTCCCTGTCTCCCACCCTCCTTGATGGAATCCCTTCCTTAGTGAATGATATCACCAATCACCCATGCAAAACCTTAGAGTCCTCATCACCTTTTCCTTCTCCTTCACCCTCTGCATGAAGTCACTTAAATCAGTCTTGTGGATTCAGCCATCTCAAACTATTGCCATATCCTCTATCAGTCTCACCCCTGCCAACCAATTCTTACTACCATTTTATCATCAACAACAACTTTAAATAGCTTTCTACATTATCTAGAGTAGATCAAGATGCTATAACTAATAGGCTACATAATGTACCATGTTGCTAATACAACAGATGTTTGTTTCTTGCTCCCACAACAGTTCAAGATATGTGTTCTGGATGGCAGATAGCTCCTACAATCTTGTCATTCCACCATCCCCTAGGGTCTTGGCATTTTCTGCACTTAGCTGGGAAAAAAAGGAAGAGTAATTAAGGGTGTATCATACCCACTGTTTAAAATCCTTGGTGCAGAAATGTATCTTCTGTGCACAACCTATTGAAAACCAGTCACATGACACACCTAATTGCAAAGGACACTGGGAAAGGGAATTTAGCCATACACTGGGCTACAATGTAAATATTTCTGTTGAAGGAGATAATGAATTTTCGGTGACAAAATATGGTTCCTTGACCTTGACATTGTCTTGCATAACCTCCATGACATTTTTTTTTTAAGAGATGGAATCTGACGCAATCACCCTGGCTGGAGTGCAGTGGCATAATCATAGCTCCATGCAACCCAGAGCTTCTGGGCTCAAGATGTTTCCGGAATTGGTAGGTTCTTGGTCTCGCTGACTTCAAGAATGAAGCCGCGGACCCTCGCAGTGAGTGTTACAGTTCTTAAAGATGCTGTGTCCAGAGTTTGTTCCTTCAGATGTTCAGACGTGTCTGGAGTTTCTTCTTTCTGGTGGGTTCGTGGTCTCACTGGCTTCAGGAGTGAAGCTGCAGACCTTCGCAGTGAGTGTTACAGCTCATAAACGCAGTGCGGACCCAAAGAGTGAGCAGAAGCAAGATTTATTGCAAAGAGGGAAAGAACAAAGCTTCCACAGCATGCAAGAAGATGGTGGGCGGGGGGCCAAGGCCAGGGCAGGGGCAGCGGCAGGCTCAGGCATGGAGGGCTGCAGGTCCCGAGCCCTGTCCCGCAAGGAAGAGGCTGAGGCCCGGCAAGAATTCGAGCATGGCGCAGGCGGGCTGACAGTGCTGGGGGAACTGGCGCACCCTCCGAAGCTGCTTGCCTGGGTGCTAAGCCCCTCACTGCCCTGGGCCAGCGGCGCCGACCGGCCGCTCCGACTGCGGGCCACTGAGCCTGCACCCAGCCGGAACCCGGGCTCGCCACAAGCTTCACGTACAGCCCTGGTTCCCGCCCGGGCCTCTCCCTCCATACCTCCGGGCAAGCAGAGGGAGCCAAATTCGGCCTCGGCCAGCCCAGAGAGGGGCTCCCACAGTGCAGCGGCGGGCTGAAGTGCTCTTCAAGCGCAGCCAGAGTGGACACCGAGGCCGAGGAGGCGCTGAGAGTGAGCGAGGGCTGCTAGCATGTTGTCACCTCTCAAAGAGATCTTCCTGCCTCAGCCTCTTGAGTAGCTAAGACTACAGGCATGTGCCACCATGCCCAGCTAACTGTTTTAATTTTATTTTTAGAGACGGGACTTTGCTTATGTTGCCCAGGCTGGTCCTGAATTCCTGGGCTCAAGTGATCTTCCCACCTCAGTCTCCCATTCATGAGGGATTCATTCCCCGCCCTCCATGACCTAAACACCACCCACTAGGCTCCACTTCCCAAGGTCACCATATTGGAGATCAAATGTCAGCATGAGGTTTGATGGGGATAAACAAATCTCATCCAAACAGCAAAGAAGGAATGAGGCACAGAAGCCCTGAGAGAATAAAGAGGTTCCCAGCAGAGAAAACATGGAGCAAGACCAAAGTGTGGCACTTTTGAAAATGATTTGTCTAATTGGAGTAAGAGATACAGTTGGCAGAGTAGCGAGGAAGGCAGAGGCCAGACCAAGTACAATGTCATGTGCTAGTCTCAAGAATTTTGCTTTAATCCTGAAGGAAGCTTTGAAGTGTATTTAGCAGAGACGTGATGGAATCCAGAAGTTTAGAGGGAAACACTAGAATGCAGTACGGGAGGAGCATCTCCCAACCCTGGAAGACTGGAGTCCAACCAGCATGTGCCAGGTTGTCTCTTCTCTCTGCTACAGTTCTTTATTCATTGCTACAGTTCCTTATTCACATGTAACTGTAGGCTCCCTTCATCAGTTTAGGAAAACAAATGAGGTCACATATCTTTCTAACTAGCTTCTTGAGCCACCACACAGTCAAATTAACTGGAACCCCAGGGTCTCCTTCTTAGGACCTTTTTCCAATTGTAAAAGAATCTTGGTGTTTGCTCTGCTTAATGGGGCGAATCCAAACAGTGTTCAGGAAAAAAAATATATAAAGAATGTCCCGAGCCTATGATAAGACCTTGGCTTTTATGTGCCATTTCTCCTATAGCTATTGGTCTGATCCATGCCTTCTCCAATATCATTCCAGGACCCCAAGGAAAACAGAGCTACATAGGAAGGAACTCCAATAAAGTGGCAACAGTGATCAGATTTGGGATTTCAAAAGGTTGCTCTGATGTCAGAGTACACAGGGTTGGACCAAAAGGGAACACAGCTAGAGGCAAGGAGATCAATGAAGTTGCCCATGCAGTGTTTTAGATGGAAAGTAATAGAAGCCTGAAGAAGGGAAGTGGGGATGGAGAAGAGGGCAGAAGCATGATATAGGTCAAAAGCATAAAATTGACAGCATCTATTGACTGTTTGGATGTAAGGAGTAAAAGGAAAATAAAGTTGATAGTTTATATAGACCTTCCTTGGGAACGGGGTAGATGCCAGTGAGATTCCACAAGATTAGGGATGCAAGAGTCAAGATAGGCTTGGGAAATGGTGAAGGCAGTTGATGATCTCAGGTTTAAGCGTGTGAAGTGGGGTGCATGGGGAAAAACTATAGGAATGTGTCTCAAGGTAGTCAGGTATATAAGCATGGAACTCATGAGAAACGTCTGGAGATAGGGATTTCAACTCACTGGTTTGTAGGTAATAGTTGAATTGGTGTGGACAAGAGCTGCAGGAAGAATTGTTGAATGGGATGAGGGCAGAACACTGGGGAACCCAAACTCTAAGGATTGAGCAAAGATGTCTGAGAAGGAGCACTACAGAGGTTGGAAAAGGAAGACTTCAAAAAGACAGCAATCAGCATCCTGCACTGCAAGAAGGCAGGTCAACTAACAAGGACCTGAAGTGCTTCATTAATGATCTTGGTGAGAGTGAGGAGTGGGCACAGAAGCTTGACCAAAGTAAAAGAGGAGAAACAATAAGGCCAGGGTTATTTTTCAGAAAACCAGGTGATGAGGGACAGCATGGAATAAAATGACAACTGGAGAGGGAGGTAGGGTCAAGAAATGGTGTGTGGTGTGGTGTGTGTGTGTGTGTGTGTATGTGTGTGTGTGTGTGTGTGTGTATGTGTGTGTGTGAATTTCTCTGCCACTTTTTTAATCCCACAGAGAGTGGCGTTCGTTTGATGTCTACAAGTCTTAGAAGGGCCACTGACTCCCCAGATGCCCCTCCTTCTCCCTTTACCTTAGGGTTATAACTGGGCATTCACTCGTCTTAGAATCCCCCTCTTTTTTCATAGGGTTTTGGGGACATCACATAGGATTCTAGGCCTTGGTGGGTTTGACACATCATAGCAGTCAGCTTATTCAGTCTCTTTTTCTTATTTAACTAAAGCTCTGCCCATGTCTTCTATAGTTATGGGAAACTACTCTCATCAGCCAGCCGTGGCGTAGCACCACACCCAGGGCTGTCCATGCTTGTGTGGTCCATATAAATAATCATTTCAACTGGGAAATTTTGAGAATAAAAGGAGTGTTGTTAGCAATGACTGACAGACAACAGGTGCAAATGGAAATTGTCCCCGTCAAATGGAGACATAGTCATAGACAGTCAGATGATCCCTACTCATTCTTCATATTTGCATTGTCACAGCTCAAAACACATGAAGGGATTTTATATACATTGTATTATTTGAGGCTTTTTAAGTAGCACACATTATTTTATTTTATTATGAGATGGAATCTCCCTCTGTTACCCAAGCTGGAGTGCAATGGCACGATCTCAGCTCACTGCAACCTCTGCCTCCTTGGTTCAAGCAATTCTCCTGCTTCAGCCTCCTGAGTAGCTGGGACTGCAGGTGCATGCCACCACACCCAATTAGCTTTGTATTTTTAGTAGAGACAGGGTTTCACCATGTTTGCCAGCCTGGTCTTGAACTCCTGACTTCAAGTGATCCTCCTACTTGGTCTCCCAAAGTGCTGGGATTACAGACGTGAGCCATCGTGCAGGCCCACGCATTACTTTAGAAATAAATAGGTAAAGGAAATCATGTTTGCAGAATCTGAGCTGGCACGGACTGCCTGGTGCAAACCCCTCATTTTATAAATGAAGATCCCAAGGCCCAGCTCTCTGGAAGCTCCAGTAAGACCTGAATAACTATCAGATTTGAGGTCCCTCCTACTTTAGATCCATTCCCCCAGCCTCCACCAATTGGGAGGGGAGCCAGAGGGGAGGGTGTCCATGGATTTGCCTTGGGAGGAAGAGCTATGAGGAAGTCTTCATGAATTTGTCCCTGAATGGCAGCCAAAGCAGGAAGCCTCCTAAGTTTGGAATGGGGGTCAGTGGAGCTCAGGATCTATATCCCGCAGAGCATATGGAGGCCCAAATCACTGTCTCCTCCTCTGGCTCAGAGTTTCCCTATTTCAGTCTGCACCTGCATCTTACATCCCACAACGAAGTGGAGCCTCTGTAGCAGTGGCAGACTACAGGTCTGTATTTACATGGGTCCGTATTTCATCTGCATCGTGACACCAGCCTCCACCACTTTCTGTGCCACCCAGTTCTGGGAGGGAAGAGATTTCATGGTTTTGATGGACTCTCTTAGAGCTATTTACATGCATGAAACAATTAGGAAAACAAAAATAAGGGAGCGTGATGATTAAGTTTTGATGTTAATTTGACTGGAATAAGGAATACCTAGAAATCTGGTAAAGCGTTTTTTTTCTGAGTGTGTCTGTGAAGGTGTTTCCAAAGGAGATCGGCATGTGAGTCTGAGAGGACTAAGTGGGGAAGATCCACCCTCAATGTGGGCAGGCACCATCTAGTCTACTGGGGACCTGCAGAAAACAAAAACAGAAAGGGCAAATAGGTTAATCTCTCTACTAGAGTTGGGATATATTGTCCCTCTCCTGTCCTTGGACAACTTCAGGCTCTCTGATCTTTGGACTCCACGAGTTACACCAATGACCCCTGGGTTCTCAGGCCTTTGGCCTTGGAATGAGAGTTACACCATCATCCTCTGGCTCTGATGGCATCACTCCTGGCTCTGATGCCTTTGGACTTGTACTGAGCTGTACTACCAGAATTCCCAGGTCTCCAGCTTGCAGACAACCTGTCCTGGGACTTCTCAGCCTCAATAATCATTTGAGCCAATTCCCCTAATAAATCCTCTCCCATCTACCTATCTATATCTACATCCATATCTAATCTATGTCTATATCCATCTCCTATTTGTTCTGTCTCTCTAGAGAATCCTGACTAATACAGAGAGTAACAAAGCATTTTTCTCATGTTTTATCTTTCATCTCAGAATCTAATTAATCACTTCCTTAATTACTTGAATGAGCCACTGGAGGTTTGGGGTCATGATTCCTGCTCTATTTATATCACCTTGTTTTTGATGAGATGACCCTACCTCTGAATACTGAGTCTAAACATACCAATAAAAAGATGAGAGACGGCCGGGCACGGTGGCTCACACCTGTAATCCCAACACTTTGGGAGGCCAGGGCGGGTGGATCACTTGAGGTCAGGAGTTCAAAATTGGCTTGGCCAACATCTAATTTAATAGAGATGACATCTAATTTAGTAGAGACGAGTGAAACCTCGTCTCTACTAAAAATACAAAAATTAGCCAGGCATGGTGGCAGGCGCCTATAATCCCAGCTACTTGGGAGGCTAAGGCAGGAGAACCACTTGAACCCAGGATGCAGAGGTTGCAGTGAGCCGAGATTTTTGCACCACTGCACTCGAGCCTGGGTGACAGAGCTTCATCTCAAAAAAAAAAAAAAAAAAAAAAAAAAAAAAAGATGAGAGACCTGTTCCAGGCCCTGTAGTTTTCACATTCTCTCTGAATTCATTATTCTTAAAACACTGTCTATTATCCACCCCTAGTCAATCAAAAATAAATAAAAATCAAAAAGAAAACAAGGAACAGGCTTCTCTTGTAATTGGAAGAGAGCTGTGAGCAAGACGAATGATCTGTGGGGACCTCCACTACGAATTACAGCAGAAGGCTTGCAATTACTTAGAGAAAGAAACTGCATGTTTATAATGTTTGAGTAGAAAGAAGCATCTCAGTACTCTTCACACTTAGTATTCAGCACAGTGATATTGCAGTGCTGGGCCAGTGGGGCAAAGGCCAGCCTTTCTGGAATTGTAACACTCTAAAGTGTCTCTGTACACTGTGAGACACGACCAGGTTCATCAGTCTGGGATCCCCAGGACCTCCAAGCATAACAAACGTGGCAGCAAGTCTCAGGGGCAGAGCCCCAGGCTGCACTTGCCAAGAAGCAGCTTCTGGGCTGCAAAGTCTGTGATCTGAGCAGAGAGAAGGTACAGAAGGAGAAGCTCTGGGTAGAGAGGTGTGATGCTGAACAAGGCCCCCTGCCTGCCCCATCTTTTAGCCTTCCATGCCCCTCTCCACTTCTCAGGTTTCCCTGAGGCTTCTCCCTCCTACTAATCTCCACAACAAAAACCATATTCCAACTCTAGCGACTGAGTAACAATAATGAGATCTATATTATTATGATCATGACTCTTCTTCTTGCTTGTTAACTGCTTAAGCAAACATGCTTTACTAGAAGGAAATCTAACACTCTTCTCTTGAGTCTTTCTCCCCTCTTCCCTCAAATTGCCCAAGCACCCTGGAGGTTTGGTCCAAGCAAAGTTGACCAAAGTGGGAGGAGAAGTGGTGTCTTTGGGGCCATTTGTGGCCTCTCATCAGCACCACATAATGTTGCTGACGAATACTGGCCCCTAGCCACAAGACCCACACTTGTCTGCTCTGAGCACAGCCTTGCTGCTCCACATTCCTGACATTCCTGCAGGGGGCTATGAAATAGCATAACAGGGCACCAAGTGATGCTCTCTTAGTTCACGTGTCTACGTGTAGTCACAGAAACATAACACTGAGCCCAGGGGCAGGTTCCAAAAGATCATTAACGCCTCCCAAGTGCTATTCTGTACACAAGCCAACCCTTTCCATGACCGCTGAAGCCCTTGTCTTCAGCCTGGGCCATCAGTATGTGTTTTAACATATAGTGTATTAGTTAAAAATTCAAAGTAGAGTAAGGCCAACAGATCACAAGATGACTATTGTTGAAAAGAGAAGTTGTTACTCAAGGTTCCCAGGAGGAGAGGCCACCTGGGGAAGTACCAGGGCTGGTCAGAGGCAGAGGGGGCAGGGGACTGTGGGTAAAAGACTTTACTGTGGTTTCTGCAGGAAGGAACAGGTAAGGCAGGGCACATGGGCTTATGATTGGCTGGTTTGAATAATTTCAGAGGGCTATGGGCTGTAGCAGCTGACCCTAGTTGTCTGGGGTGACTAGGGTAGGTGGAGAGTGTCCCAGAGTATGAGAACCCATGAGAAAAAAATATGGCTAGGGGTATGAGCTCTGGTTTGGTTGATTTGCATTTGAAAAGCATGCTCATGGGAAAATGACTGATGCTCTCTAGAGATCAGCAAACCCTGGGACGGCAGTCTCCCCAAGGTCAGCAAGGCCCCAGATGTCAAAGCACCAGCACACAGACCATAAAATGCATGGTTACCATACCATGTTGATGTTTTCTTTACTTAAGATTGTTTTATACCTGGGGCCTTATTTTCTCTTCCTGTCACTGGACACAGTTCAGGCCTTCCCTGTCCACTATCTCCCTGACATTGAGACTCAAAACTCCGGGCTTGGCCAGGCTCAGTGGCTCACACCTGTAATCCCAGCACTTTGGGAGGCCAAGGCTGGTGGATCACAAGGTCAAGAGATCAAGACCATCCTGGCCAACATGGTGAAACCCCGTCTCTACTAAAAATACAAAAATTAGCTGGGTGTGGTGGCGCACGCCTGTAGTCCTAGCTACTCGGAGGGCTGAGACAGGAGAATCACTTGAACTTGGGAGGTGGAGGTTGCGGTGAGCCGAGATTGTGCCACTGCACTCCAGCCTGGTGACAGAGCAAGACTCTGTCTCAAAAAAATAAGTAAATAAACAGGGCTTGAGTCTATTCCATTTTACAAAGGTCTTGGATTCCTTGATCTCTTAAAGAATCATCTCTCATACTAAAAGGTAAACTAGATTTTGCTAATGTACTTGAGAAATTAAAGCTCCTATATATACCTTTACTGCAGTCCAAATAAAAAAATATATAATTTTTTATTTTTTGAGCAACTATCAAGCACTGCCCCAGCACATTCATTTCTCTTTATAGTATTGGGCCAGACACAGATCTAAACCATTCCTTTCACACAGCTATGCCAGACCAGCATTTAAAAAATAAACGCTGCTACATACCAAGGGAAAATATTTCGTTAATTTTACTTCTACTTTAAAAAGCATCATTTTGTGGTACATTGTCTAATGTTATCTATCTTTACAAAAACCATGAGATACGTAATATCATTATCCAAACTTTACAGAAAACAAAACAAAACAAAACTGAGCTTAGAGAGGTAAAGTTACTGACAAAAGGCCGCCTAGCAGTTGGTTAGTATAACAATCAGTGCAAAGACCCAAGTTTTTATCCAACCCAGTCTTCTTTTCACTAATCCACTGCTCAGAAAACACAAATAGGGCAAAAACAGTTGTTTGCAGGGAACATATTTCTGATCCACTCTCTTTTACCTCAATGGATTAAAAAGGCATAATAATTAGAACAACTCATTGAAGCATTGTCCACAATGGAGAAGATTTGGAATCAATCTAAGTGTCCATCAATGGATAAAATGTATAAAGAAAATATGGTATATACATACAGTGTAATATTATTCAGCCCTTTAGAAGAAGAAATCCTGTCATTTATGACAACATGGATGAACTTGAAGGACAGAATGTTAAGTGAAATAAGCCAGGCACAGAAAGACAGATACTGCATAATCTCACTTATATAGAGAATCTAAAAAAGTAGAACTCATAGAAGCAGAGAAGAGAATGGTGATTGCCAGGGGCTAGCATGGGGTGCAGGGGAGAGGTGTGATTAGAGAGATATTGGTCAAAGGGTTCAGAGTTTTAGTTATGCAGGTTAAATACATTTTGGACATCTAATGTACAGCATGGTGACTGTAGTTAGTTAACAATACTGTATTGTATACTCAAAATTTGCTAAAAGAGTAGATCTTAAGTGTCCTCACCCCTACACACACACATAAAAAAATAGCAACTATGTGAGGGTGAATATGTTAATTAGCTTGCTTGTGGTGATCATTTCACAATGTATGCATGTATCCAAACCTCATGTTGTACACCATAGATATAAGCAATTTTATTTATCTATTATGCCTCAATAAATCTGGAAACTTAATTAATTAGCTAATTAATTGATTTTAAAATTAGTTGGAAGAATTTTGAAGCCAGAGAGATCTGGGTTCTGATCCCAGCTCTGCCACTTGCTCATTACATGACTTTGAGTTGCTTTCTCTGAGCCTCATTTTCCTTATCTATAAAACGAAGATGATAATAATAATGTCGTCCTATTAGCACTGCTGGGAAGATACATCTCAAAAGGCTCTGGCACAAAGTGGACATGCCACAATAATGCAATATTATTATTATATACAGAGGGTGGATATAACTTCACAGAAGTTCATTTCATTCATTCAACAAAAGTTTATTGAACATCAACTATGTGTGAGGAACAAGGAAAGAATTTCTAAATTAAAGATAGACAGTTAGGAAGGTGGAGACTGACAAACAAATAAATGCAATAAAGTGTCCTCAGTTGCAGGCCAGAGTGGTGGCTACACGAGAGAGCCCATTTGTCCCTGAGAGTGTCAGGAAACGTTCCACAGAAGAGGTATGTGGCTTCCAACAGGAGGGCAGGAGGGCAGGAATTAGCTTATAAAATGCCTCCCTTAATTTGATATCTCATTGTTTAAAAGATCAAGTTGAGAGCTAAAGTGAATTTTCAAATGGCAAAACTAGATTGAAAGCAGGCAAATTCACTGGGTTGTCCCAAAACCACCTAAGGGCCACATGAATTATCACTGCTTCAACTCGTTGTAGGAAACATGCATTTTCAACCAATTTATTTTTTTATCTTGCTCCAAAGACAACATTAAAACTCATAAAAACTAATAAGACAGGCCAAACACGGTGGCTCATGCCTGTAATCCCAGCACTTTGGGAGGCCGAGGCGGGCGGATCACGAGGTCAGGAGATCGAGACCATCCTGGCTAACAGGGTGAA